>NW_003871074.1:0-191409 GCF_000001405.40 Homo sapiens | reverse complement strand
GAATTCCTAGCCTAGGAAATCCAGATAGTCCTGTCTCTCACTGACACCCTGCCCTCACTCCTGCCACACATACACACTTAAGGGCAGAGACTGTGACTTTCCTATTTCCATTTTCAACCACCTGTACAGTGACTGGAAGATTTTAGCAGGAAGAATATTATTATATAGCATTATATATAGCAAGAAGAAGCTGGCCCAAAAAGGTTGGTGTCTGTGGTTAAATCATGGGGAAAATGAATAGAATCAGAAAAGATTCAGAATCAAATACTCTGGTTCAAAATGCTACTGTCCTCATTTTTGGTAATTGGTTGAAGAGATAGAGAAAGGAGAAGAAGGGGTAAGAAGAATTCTGTAATTTGCACCAAAACCTAAAAGGGCACTGATATCATCACTTGAGCCAAACTCCCAAGAATATCTATAGGAAATCATTCTAAAGTTGAAATCTAGCTCCTTGGGGAGCATGGTGTGTTTTACAAAATTAATTTGTTCTTTGGAACATTCCCCCCAATGGTTCAAATAGAAATGGTTGGATTTGAAAGAAAATGGTTGGATTTTGGTTTACAGTCTCCACTAGGGGAATGGGCTGAATGGTGCACCCAGTAACAGTCTTTTACCAAACAAAGTGGTATTGGCAACTTGAGATCAGGGTATGCGGCTATGCAAAAGCAGTATGTGTTCTCACCTGGGCCTGCTGCTGTGTGGGATTGCATTTCATGAGGAGGGAGGTTACACTGCAATGGAATTTCCTCTGCTAATCCTGTGAGATCCACCATGACCTTGTCAGCAACCTAGTGCATGTGTTCTCTGAACTTAATACCATGAAACCTGAATATCTGAGACAGGTCTCAGTCAGTTTAGGAAGTTTATTTTGCCAAAGTTAAGAACGCACCCATGACACAGCCCTCAGGAGGCCCTGAAGACATGTGTCCAAGGTGGTCGGGGTACAGCTTGCTTTTATACATTTCAGGTAGACATGAGACATCAATCAATATGTGTAAGATGTACATTCATTTGGTTCAATAAGGCAGGGCAACTCAAAGTAGGGTTTTCCAGGTTAGAAGTAGATAAGAGATAGAAAGTTGCATTCTTTTGAGTCCTTGATCAGCCTTCCACTATATACACAATTTAGTCTAGTTAGGCAAATCTGCATTTTTACATAAACAGTAGGGCAGAGGAAACAATCAGTTATGAATTTGCCTCAGGTGAGTGTCAGAATGATGACTTTTGATTTCTGTCTGTCCTTTGTCCACAAGGGATTTCCCTGTGGGCAAATTGTGTGGGAGGAACATAGCTTCTTATCTTTGTAACTATCTTATTTAGGAATAAAATGGGGGACAGGTTTTTGCCCTAAGCAGTTTCCAGCTTGACTTTTCCCTTTGACTTAGTGATTTGGGGCATCGAAGATTTATTTTTCTTTCACATTTCCCCCCACGCTTTTCTTTTTAAAATCTTTTGGAGAAAGCATTTGAGAAGAAAATGAGTCTCTGGTCTCAGGTTTTGTCTAATCTCTCATGGCTAGGATGGTTTATCCCCAGATGAGTAGGTCCCACTGTATAAGGAAAGCTCATTTTTAGCAGGTTGTGAAGTCTCACGTTCTATGAAGAGAACATAAGAGAAGAAGGGAGAACAACAACAACAAACAAAAAAGAAACAATCCTGGAAAACTGTAATAGGTCA
The DNA here is from genome assembly GCF_000001405.40 of Homo sapiens. Lineage (NCBI taxonomy): Eukaryota > Metazoa > Chordata > Mammalia > Primates > Hominidae > Homo > Homo sapiens. The sequence continues at coordinate 189,732 of NW_003871074.1, read as the reverse complement.
TATTACTCTGAAGTCCGTACATCAGTAGGCAGGTATGAAAGTGTATGTAAATAGGTTGTTATTTTCTTCTGAAGTTTAAGTTATCTAGCTTCAGTTTGCAGGAGTTTAAGAAATCACAACTTAGTTTTCAGTGATTCTAAATTAGGAAAAATGGGGGTGGGGAGTGAGAGGAACAGAAAGAAGGAAAAAAAATGAAAACATTATTTTGGAGACTTGTAGCCAGGAAATATTAGGATTCAGTCCAAACTGTGGAAAATAGTAAAAATGGAAAACCATTAGGCAAGACTAGAATCTAGTAATAGGTATGATATACTTTCTAAAACATAATTTTTCTCTCTCAAGTTTCCCATTTTTGCTAAAGACAAATCATGGTAGGACCAATTTGCTTTATTATATGTGGACTGATTATCTGTATAAAGTGCAGCAAGAGTAATTATTTTTTTCATATAGGCCTTTTTAATTGGCTTTCATGGAACTTTGTTCCATAGAAGGAATCTCAGGTAAGACTTCTTTAAAGCCAAACCCAGCCACGGCTTTGTACCATCAAATAACTATGAGTTGGGTAGATTCCTCTCCTCTTGAGGTCCCAAGATAACTTGGGGCTCCTGAGCCTGTCAGAAAGTGGCATTCTTTACTTACCACAGGTCAGGAACTCTGTCCAGAGACTGTGTAGACAAGGTAAGAGAGCAGTTTTCCCAAGGGGCTTTTATTAGCTCCAAAAGTCAAGTTTGATTCCTTAAAGGGAAGCACACTATTCCAGTCAAAGCCTTGGTAAAATAACCAGTTTCTGCAATGGTGTCCTGTTGCAAAAGAAAACAGGCATATTGCACTTATGCCAATAAATATACTGCCATAAGTTAAGAATACTCATAAATAGTTTCCAAATTCTGGAAAAATCAGGCAGAAAGAAATAAATATGCTCCAAATTTTGTTCACAGGAGTATACTTTACCTCAATTCCTACAAGCTGTAAATAGCTCAAAAAGTTTTCTTTTCTTTTTCTTTTTCTTTTCTTTTTTTTTTTTTGTGAGACAAAGTTTCACTCTGCCCCCTAGGTTTGAGTTCAGTGGTGCAATCTTGGCTCACTGCAAACTCTGCCTTCTGAATTCAAGTGATTCTTCCACTTTAGCCTCCCCAGTAGCTGAAACTATAGGCACGCACCACCATGCCTGGCTAATTTTTGTATTTTCTGGTAGAGATGGGGTTTCACCATGTTGGCCAGGCTTATCTCAAACTTCTGACCTCAGATGATCCACCCATCTCAGCCTCCCAAAGTGCTGAGATTACAGGTGTGAGTCACCATGCCCTGCCCAAAAAGTTTTCTTGACTCTGAAAAACAAAACAAAGGATCAGCAATGTCTTAAGCAAAAAAGTCAAAACAGATTATTTCAGTCTTCTATTAGTTCAGTCCGTGCAGTAAACTCCTGTTCTGCATGATATTCATGAACATTCCATCTCTCCATGAGAGTACTGAGTTTTTCCATCTATTCTTATGTCACAAGCTCAAAGGTATCAGAACTCTGCATTCAAGAACACCTGTTAGAGTTTTATAGCTGGTTATAAAACTACCCTCTAAAGAAGACCAAAACAACAATAGTCTGTGGATGACAAAATGTTTTAAAGGTGCCATAGTCAAAGACACAATTGACAAGGAAATTTGTTATCTCTCTGGCACACAGTATTTTAACATAACAATTATAATTATTACTGATAAAGTGCCCTAAATCATATCAGAATTAGAGGAGTTTCCCATAATTTTGAAACACATACTAATAACATATTTAAACAAATACAGTCCAAAGGAAGCCAAACATCATTTCATATTTGACAATGCTTCCTGTATGATTTTTATACTAAATAAGCCAAATATGTCATTTTTGGACTTTAGGGAATATAATATCTTAAAGGATTAATTAGATCAGAAAAAGACATTATAATTTATAATTTGATTTTGGAAAGTTTGTCAAATACCAAAGATTTAAAATGCTTGATATCACAAAATAGCATCACTGGTCATTGTAAAATAAGTTATTCATTTAACCAAAGTGATAACTCAAGGATTTCAAAAAAAAGGTGTAAAACCTTTATTCTTTAAGAAAGGAGATTTAATATTTCAAACAATAAGCCCCAATAGAAACAGCATGAGGCAGTGTGCTTTGATATTAATGGTTTATTTATAGAGAAACTGAACTTATTTTATCTCTCAAAATTGGCCCTTACAATTTTACATGCCCATCTCTTCTGTGATAGTTCCCAGGCCATGAGAAGTGGAATAGCTTTAATTTCTGGCCTGGTGTCTTATGAACACAATTTACTTTGATTTGCATCTTTTACTGGGTCTGAAGATGAGGGTTTAACTGCCATCAGTGTTAAGATTTAGCAAGACTTGGTGTCCTTTTTAGAACCAGGCGTCAAAGCCCTGTAACTTAATGGCACAAAGACTTAAAGGCACATACAGAAAGTTATATGTATGCAATAACCTGAATTAAATTTTTTTTAATCGCAGTTTTTCATAAGCAAACCAAACTTAGGAATAATGACATAGGAATTATTTCAATAAAGCATAAGATCTGTTTATTAGGCCAGTTACCCAAAGGCAAAAGAAAAGACCTTCTGTAGTGTGATTGCTCTTCCCTATGAGGAATATTATATTGGAAGGAAACATTTCCTTTAGACCTTTAAGATATAACTTTTTTTTTTAAAGCATCAAACCACAACAGTTAGAACTCAAAGGGGGGAAAAAAACTTACAGGAACTGAAAATGAGTTGAAGGATAAAGTTATTATTTCAGGACTTTTAAAGGGGGAGAGAAAGCTGAAAACAGCAAGATGCAATAAAAGTTGAATTTTGCAGAAAAAATTATAGTGTCTTATAATTTATTAAGCATGTAAAGCAATATCTTAAGAAAATTTTGTAGTTCAAACCAGTTATTTAGTGTATAATTATTTTAATCAAAACCAAATCTTCAGAAAAATGATTGTAACTTCCCTTTAATTATAGAAAACTTGGTCATATAAAAGATTTTTTAAATAAGTCCTCTTATTATGATTTACACAGAGCATTCATGGCATGCTTGAACTTTCTAGTTTGTCCTAAATGTCTCTGTTTCTGAAACAACCAGTCATTTTATTCTAGGATAAGATTTACTGTACAAGATTCTGTCTCATATAAAATTATTTTTGTTTAAGCATTCTTACCAAAAATACCTCTTCATTTCTATAACTTTCTCTATATCTCTCTTATTTCCTGGTTCCTTTTACTTTGTTTTATATATAACCTTTAAATAAGCTCTGAATTAGAACAAGACATTTACGTTTTAATAAGAACATCTTTTTAAAGTTTTAAAAATAATTTTTAAATTTGAAAATTTCTCAAACACTTAATATCTATTAATAACTTTAGATCCTAAATTACATGACAAGTTTGTTTACAAGCATTTAATCTGTTACATTTACCTAATTAATATATTTAATAGTTTACCTAGATTAACTGTGATAGTCATTATTTAAAGTTATTTCCCTGTTAACCATTTTTATAGCTGTGAATTTCAAGTGTTACTCAAGAACTTTAAGGTTAAATATAAAGGTATATTTTTAAACGATAATTCAGGATTTAGATGTTTTCATTAAACCAACAATATTTCATGTCTTATTTATCAAAAATTACACAAGCAAAGATCATTCTGTCTTGGGCTGTGTTTTATAGTTTTGTAAACTTTAAGGTCAATCTCATAGTATTCTGCAGGAATAAGCAAAAAACTGCTTGACCAATAAATGCAAATAAAAATGCTAACAGTTCTTAAGACAGTTCTAATGTTATTTTACCAATAATTTTAAAGCCAGCTTATTTATTAAAAGCTTACTTAAGTCATGTGATATTGGAAAAGCATTTGACTTTTTTTTAAAGAGAGTATTTGATTTAAGTGCTTTTATTTTTCTTTAAGCCAATTAGAGGTATTTTATATATTTTCAGTAGTGAAACATTGTGTACACAACACATAAATACATAAACGTATTAGGCACGCCAATAGAAGCGCATCTTACAGATTCATAAGACCTCTTCTTTTTCTTATCTTAAACTTGCAAATTATTGATAACCTTTTTCATTACCCTAGGCAGTTGTCAGCTGAACAGCTCTGAATTTTCAGGTTAAAGGAAACCACTCTTAGGTGAAAATCAGATAGTAAAATTTACATCTCAAACTATATAGAGAAAAAAGCTGGTGTGCTAAAGGGAAATGAAAATCAATTTAATTGCCAGTTAAACATAAAACATAAAATTATAAAAGTCTTTTAAATATATATATATATATATATATTTGCACACACACACATACACACACAAAAAAGATTCTATAGCTTTTACTTTAGAACTCTAGCCATGAGATAGATAAAATTCACTGGCTTCCAAAAAAAAGCTTGGATTCAAATAGTGGTTTTTATCTCAGTAGAAAAGTAACAGCAGATTTAAAGCAGGCAGAAAAGAAAATAGATGAAAAGAGAACTTAGGAATTCTAGAGAGCTTGGGGGTCTTTTTCCTTGATGCAATAGACCATAACATTTCCATTTTACACAAACACTATCTAGCAAGTAGAGGTGCCATAAAACCGATGGAGTACCTGAAAGGGGGTCATTTTCTCCTCATTCATAGATTATTTGTTTCCCACTTCTTTTTTTCTTAAAAGGAGGAACTGAGCTGTGGACTAGGGTTTTGTAGAGTGGGTGAAAGTGGGCTGCTTGCAGGCGGGACTCCACAGTGTGTCACCACTGAGTCCTTGTCACCCTCTTATGTGTCTCAGTTTCTCTCTCTAAAGGTCTAGCACCTCCAGGAGGGCTCAAGTGCCGAGTGACCAGCTCCCTTGTGTGCTTCCTGTATGAGTCTTTCTTTAAACTAATTTTGTTGGGGGTTCCCTGTAGGGCCTCTGTATGTCACAGGGGGTCAGGACCCCCTACACTCCAACAAGGTCCACAGTCACCCAAAGAGTGCCTTTCGGTTGGGAGGAGCAAAATGCCCTTTCTCTTCTGAGCTGAGGAAACTCAGTCTCTCATTTACCTGTGTAAATAACAGTTCAGTTCCTCACAAAAATGCACACAGGCAAGCCAAATCAAGATTAATTTTGGGAGAAAAAGCAATGGAAAAGACCCTTTAGAATGCACTTCCAAATTAAGAGTTGGATCCATAAACAACTTCCTAGGAAAGAAAATAAACAACAAAACAACCAAGACCACTTTCTGTAAAGTATCCTTATCCACCCCTAAATTTGTAGCTCCCATATGACATTACACAAGCCAAGGTCAAATCATCTCACAGTACAAGGTCATCCCTGGTTCCCCTAAAGCCAAAGAGGTCAGGTAATACAGTAGAGAAGAGCAGAGCTTTAGACCTAAGAAATATCTTTCTATGACTCTTGAAACCCCACAAAGAAAACAGAACACCTCAAAATAGGTGAGTGGCACCTACCCCCATGATTCAACCATCTCCTACTGGGTCCCTCACACAACATGTGGGAATTATGGGAGCTACAAGATGAGATTTGGGTGGGGACACAGAGCCAAATCACATCATTCTGTCCCTGGCCCCTCCCAAATCTCATGTCTTCATTTTTCAAAACCAATCATGCCTTTCCAAAAGTCCCCCAAAGCCTTAATTCATTCAGCATTAGCTCAAACGTCCAAAGTCCAAAATCTCATCTGAGACAAGGCAAGTCCCTTCTGCCTATAAGACTGTAAACTCAAAAGTAAGCTAGTTACTTCCTAGATACAATGGGGTACAGGTATTGGGCAAATACAGCTGTTCCAACGGGGAGAAATTGGCCAAAACAAAGGTGTTACAGGCCCCATGCAAGTCTGAAATCCAGCATGGCAGTCAAATCTTAAAGCTCCAAATGGTCTCCTTTGACTCCATGTCTCACATCTAGGTCATGCTGATGTAAGAGGTGGCTTCCCATCGTCTTGGGCACTGCACTTGATGGATCAGCTGGTGTCACCCAGATTGATTAAGTAGCTCATCTGATCTTGTGGTCCCCACCCAGGAACTGACTCAGTGCAAGGGGACAGCTTCAATTCCCTATGATTCATCTCCTACCTAACCAATCAGCACTCCTGGCTCACTGGCTTTCCCCCATCCACCAAGTTGTGCTTACAAACTCTGATCCCAAAATGCTCAGGGAGACTGATTTGAGTAACAATAAAACTCTGATCTGCGTGAATGACTCTTTCTATTACAACTCCCCTGTCTTGATAAATCAGCTCTGTCTAGGGAGTGGGCAGCGTGAATCCATTGGGTGGTTACAGTTTGAGCCACAAAGATAGCTCAAGTTGGTACCAAGCACTAACAGGAAATTTACCAAAGGTCAGGGGTATCTGCACTCAGAATCCCTTCATGGTTACCAAAATGTGAGACCCAAATATCTGAGACAGGTCTCAGTCAATTTAGCAAGTATATTTTTCCAAAGTTAGGGATGCACCTGTGACATCCTCAGGAGGTCCTGAGGTCATGTGCCCAAGGTGGTCAGGGTACAGCTTGCTTTTATGCATTTTAGGGAGACATGAGACATGAATCAATATGTGTAAGATATACATTGGTTTGGTCTGGTAAGGTGGGACAACTCGAAGTGGGGGCTTCCACATTAGAAGTAGATAAGAGATAAAAGGTTGCATTCTTTGGAGTCCTTGATCAGCCCTCTTCTGAATACACAATTTAGTCTGGATCAGTGAATCTGCATTTTTACATAAACAGTAGGGCAGAGGAAGCAATCAGATCTATATTTGTCTCAGGTGAGCTCAGAGGGATGACTTTGAGTTCTGTCTGTTCTTTGTCCACAAGAAATTTCCTTCTGGGAAAATTGTGAGAAATGAATGTAGCTTCTTATCTTTGTAGCTATGTTATTTAGGAATAATATGGGAGGGAAGTTTGCCCTATGCAGTTTCCAGCTTGACTTTTCCCTCTGGCTTAGTGATTTTGGGGTCCCAAGATTTATTTTCCTATTACACTACTTTGTACCCTGGGCCAAGTCCAAATCACAATCTCCGTGATATGATGATAAACAAAATAAACTCTCCTCTCACAAGTAAAAATTTTAGAAGCATATCTTGGAGTCACATATTTGTTTGAAATAATGATGATAATGATCATGATAACAATAATAAAACATTATTAAATATAATAATAAAACATTAATACCTAAAAATTTATTAAGAATTCAAGACATTCCAGCACTACTTTAAAAATTAACTTCACCTCCACTAGAAAGTTAATTCTCACCACAATTTTATGAGGTAAATATAGAAAGTTTTAGTAACTTGCCCAAGTTTGCACAGCTTGCCAATGATATGGCTGGGAAGACTTTTTTTTGTATTATTCCATTTATAGTCACTACTTCACCTCTCAGCCATGAAACTTCCTTCTGCTACACATTCCTTAACTTCGTTATCATAACATACTTTGGGAGCCCCCTCACTCTAGCCAATCTAGAAAACTCCCTTGTATTCATTAAGACTCATTTAGGGAAATCTGTGAAATTCATTAAATTTCCCCTGGGTTTCCTTAGTACTTAGTGCATGTCTCTGTCACAGTAAATAATCATTACGTGTCTATACATTTGCCTCCTTCAGTAATCTGTGAGCTCCAAGAGAAACAACATGGTGCTTCTTTTTTTCTTTTTCTTATCCCGAAGATGTGGACCAGGTCAATGTCTAATAAATGTTTTATGAATGAATAATGAAAGAATGAAAAAATAACTCAATTACCTGAACAGAGCCAAAATTCAGACAAGAAGAAAACTCTGAGCAGCCCAAATGAATGGCATAGGATTCATGCTGTGAGGTGCACGGGTAGTCCTCAGAGAAGTGCAGTTGGAATGTATCAAATTGTCTATTCATCTCTTTCCAATGGAATTGCCCTAACCTCTTTCTAAGGACATGGTTCCATTGGAGCATCATGTTCTTATAATGGAACTCTTTCCTCCAGGCCACGGGCTGCCCCAGGAGACCTACTCAACCCATGTCAAGCCAGTGAATTTCTTTTGGAAGTAGTTATCATCATGAAGGGAGGAGATGTGAATCTGAGAGCTGTTGGCAGTGGTTACTTTCCACCACTTAGACCAGGAAGCCAAGAAGCTTGTCTGCAGCAAGTGTGAAAAGTGAGATGCCAGGAAAAAGAAGTCAAGTTTATAAATTCAGAAAAACTTCCTGGATAGAACTCTCATAGTACTCCAGTGACTGAGGTATATAGGTTCCCTGATAAAATGGCCGTATATATTATATTCACAATTATATCCCCAGCTGTAGTACTGTAGGCATTTTATAATTATTTGTTCAATGAATAAGTAAATAGGGTCTCAAGTGGAGGAAACAGTTAAATGAAAAAAAAGTGGCAGCTGTTCTGAATTATTTTGATCTTGGAAGATTTTATATTTCATGTAGGATTATAATTGACTGATTGTTGATTTCATCATTTTGACTTAGAAACTTTTGCTCTGAAAAATATGGCAGGAGTTCATTTGGGTGGATTAGATAATCATCAAAGTTACTTGAAAAGCTTGTATAAATGTCAGGTTCTGGATACCAGCCTGTGGAAATTCTGATTCAGTTAGTCTGGGGTTGGGTTCCAGAGTCTGCATTTTTCAAAGTGTTCCCCAGGTGATTCTGCTGAATAGCCATGTTCTTAGAGTTCCACAAATCCCCATACCCTGTGGCTCACTCATCTCCCAGTTCTAAGCTATTTATTGCATTGAGTATTTAGGTAACATCAATTTGTCATTTATTCAGTGACTACTTGTTACCAAATATATGTAAAAGACGTCAAAAATTGATGGCTTGCTCTGCTTTCAAAATTTCCTAACAGAAAAGCAGTGGCTACCTTTCTTAAATTAACAATAAAGCAATGTTTTCTTCACAATCAGAAATTTCATGGTATCATCTCTTCATAATGTAAGTAAAGTATGTGTGAAGTCACAAATTCTATACAATGAGAGAACTTGGTTTTACAAAAAAGCTATTCTTATTTCCCTAAATAGGAGTTAATTTATCCTGACCTATTCTGTCTGCTTCTCAGAGAGGTGGGGCATGGATATTGTCCAAGATAAAGTAGAAACTGTAACTTTTACCATAAAGGTCAAATGCACCACTGTGAATTGTGAGCTGAATTTGAAATTTGGATTTATATCTGGAGATCTTGGAAGTGATAGTACTGTTGACTGCCTTTTCAGAGGGTTGGTGGCTGGACTGGGATATGGCAAACATTGAAACACCCTGGGTTCTAGTCACCTTACTGAGCAGCTGGATGCACTACAAAGTTATTTCTCCTTTCTGGGTCTCCATATCTTTATCTTTCATTGAGACATTGTATCCAATGAAGTTGTTCTCAAGCTGGAGGACTTGGAAATCCCAAAAAATACTGAATTAGAAGTCAAAAGCGGTCACTTTGGATGTTCATTTGGGGTCAAGATATTCAAAACAACAAACATAAAAATTGAGCATCAAAATTACATGTCAGAACTTGATAACAAGGGTGGTAATCTTAATAGACACATTATTTTTACAATTTAAATAAAAATGGATTTTTTCTTAGAGTTGTTGAGATGCCAAGTTAAGAAACAATATATCTGAAGTTTCTTCCAGCCATGTCTGATTTTCCAGCTATGTCAAGTTCTTCAGAATGGGGCCAGGAGCCTGGCTGCTACCAGATCATCTTCAGGCAATCAGTCTCCTCCTGTTGACCATAGATAAAGTACACTTCTGAATTCTCCCTACTAGATATAAAGGTTAGGTCTACAGATAACAAGGTGTTTAAGAACTCTGATCTCCTGAGAACACATAATGTGCCAAATATCCTGCTAGGAATTATTGGGAGGTACACAAGAAAGGGAGAGTGTGTGGTCTCTGCCCACCTGTGGTTTGCCATCTGCCACCCTCTTGCATTTTCTGTGCTCCTACAACTTGCCAGGAGCTAGACTATGTGTAGAGTCACACGGAAGCAACTCCTTTTGCTTGGAGTACCCCACACACCTTGCCTTCTTGGAAACCCCTTGGTCATTTTTCAAAACTCAGTTTTCCATATCACTTTTATCTTATAATGATCACTCTTGGTAGGGCTGGAACTCCTTTGTATTCTTACCGTACCTGGGTATGGTGCGATTGTAGCTCTTGTCATACCTCATTTGTATCTTTCCTGAACTAGACCATGAATTCCTTATTTCTCAGTTTCCTAAACCTGCCACTAACTAGTGCTCAATACTTGCTTATAGAGGGAATCAATGTGTCAATGGCTAACTAAAACCCAGAGATGTTCAAATTCTATTCTGTCATCGATTCTCTGAGATGGAGGAGGCTGGGTGGGTGGGTGCAAGTTTCAGTTAAAATAACTCCTAGCTTCCCTTCCTTTTCATTTTAGCAATGCCAGGCCTGACATCTCCTTTCAGCATCATCCCTGATTACTCTCTCCCTCCCTAATTAGAAATGTCCTTAGGTATTTCATTCTAGGTGCATACTTTTTTTGTTTTTTGGATGTGCTGTTTTCAATCTCATGTCCTGTGCATCATCTGATGATGATGATCTGATGATAATTGCAGAGCCTGCAAAACAAATTCTCACAGAAGGGAAAAGGTGCCTTCTGAAGGTCTAATGAACCCTTCAGGTGACAAGATAAAGTCACAAACCTCCCTTTCATGCCTCTGCACACTGAGGCTCAATAACACATTCAGCTCTGTGGTTGGTCTGCTGATTCTTGTAGTTGTTGTTGTTACCGCATAACCTATAATGTTCTAAAATGTTAATTGCAATTTCTCCAGTTGTCTTCACAGCAGACCTGTAGCCTCATTTTGCAAATGAGATTGAGAATGGACAGGGACCCGTTCAAAGTTCCAGAGCTGGAAAGTGACTTGGGAATCTGACATATTTGGATCTGGCTTTCTAGCTGATGTTCTTTCTAATTTGGCACAGTGTCACTCAGCTATGACTAGTTTTATTGGATGTTTATTTGCTGTCCTTTCCCCTCTGTTTGGATATTTCATAAAGATATCTCTTTTCAATTCCTGACCTATTCTATATGGTCTGGTTCTAAAATGGAGGAGTTGAACACTAAGGATAACTCAGCCCTGTCCTTTCGTCAAATATGGAACTAAATCCTTTCTGTGCACCTAGAGATGTATTAGGCCCTTTAGGAGATATAAAGATAAATAGGTTAGTTTTGCCTTCAGAGAGCTCACACTCTATAATGGGAACAAAATAACTTCAGAATTCATGATGACACAAAGCAGTATGTTAACACTGCCATGAGAATGTCTATATGATCTGTAACAGGGGGTTGAAGGTGTAAGAATTCTCATTTGCTTGACATGGTCAATGAAGGCTTCATAAAGGAGACAACAAGGAATTAGACCATGAAAGATGGAGAAGCTTTCCAATGACATCAGTCAGGGGAGGACATGTGGGGACAGGTAACAAGATAAATAAAGACCTCCATTTGCGAAGATATAGAGCATGGAGTAGGAATGAGAAATGTTTTGAATTTCTGGATTACAGCATGAATTAAAGCAGGAATTGGAGATAAAGTGAGAATTATAATGTTAGCATTGGATTGCAGAAAGCTTTGAATGCCAAGTTTAGGTAATTGGATTTTAATATTATTAGAGACTTTGTAATTTCCTTCTTTCTTTCTTTCTTTCTTTCCTTCCTTCCTTCCTTCCTCTCTCTCTCTGTCTTTTTCTTTTTTCTTTCTTTCTATGGAGTTTCACTCTTGTTGCCCAGGCTGCAGTGCAATGGCATGATCTCGGCTCACCACAACCTCCACCTCCCAGGTTCAAGAGATTCTCCTGCCTCAGCCTCCCAAGTAGCTGGAGCTACAGGCATGTACCACCAACCCTTGCTAATTTTGTATTTTTAGTAGAGATGGGATTTCTCCATGTTGGTCAGGCTGGTCTCAAACTCCTGACCTCCAGTGCTCCATCCACCTCGGCCTCCCAAAGTGCTGGAATTACAGACATGAGCCACCGCGCCTGGTGAGATTTTGTGATTTCTACAGTTTTATTCGGCAAGAGAGCCCCAGACTGTGGAGAGTGTTTTTAATTGTGTTACTTGAAAGGCGATTAATTGGGCAAGACTGTGGAGGGCAAACTGGAATGGGGGAAGAACTGGAGGCAGAGAGAACAGTCAGAGGTTTGTGCAATGGATTAAGGTGAGAGGTGATGAGGACCTGAAAAAGAATGGGGGTGGTAGGAATGGAGAGGAGAGGTGCTTGACATCTGGTCTTTTCACTCCAACCACAGGCATCATTCCTTAACTCTGTTGTGGAGCTTCCAATAAGTAATATTTCTTTTTCTTTTTCTTTTTTGTTTTTGAGACAGAGTGTCACTCTGTCACCCAGACTGGAGTGCAGTAGCGCAATCTCGGCTCACTGCAACTTCTGTCTCCTTGGTTCAAGCAATTCTCCTGCCTCAGCCTCCCGAGTAGCTGGAACTACAGATGTGCATCACCATGTCCAGCTAATTTTTTTTGTGTTTTTAGTAGAGATAGGGTTTCACCATGTTGGCCAGGCTGGTCTCAAACTTCTGACCTCAAGTGATCCGCCTGCCTCGACCTCCCAAAGTGCTGGGATTACAGGTGTGAGCCACGACACCTGGCCTCAGTAAGTAATATTTCTAGTGGAAGCTCCATTTGGTATAATTATAGCTGCAAAATATTCACTGATCCCTTTCCAGCTTCCACTGAGGCAAATAGAGAATGCCTTACTCTGAGAAAGTTGTACAGAGCTCTCTTTGTCTTATAGATGGTTAGAGAATATAAATGGATGGAAATCATCTACCAACCACCCTGCTTTTTAAAAGAATAGCAACTGCATGGAAGAAAATATATTGGAGACTAGGCTAGGGCATGATTAGGGTTGGGAATGCTGGAAAGAGCCTCTGATTGAGAATCATAGGATAGAGGTTTTGTAATGGCTGTGTCTCTATCTAACTGTGGCTTTGGCAAGCCATTCACTCTTTCTAAGCTTCAGTATCCACCCAGATCAAGTGATGGAGTTGGGGTTCAGGGGTTTTTAACTTTTCTCAATGATGGAGCTTTTGGTTTAAATAAATTCTTACGAGGAGTCCAAGGTATGAAACAGATGCATGAAAAATGTAGTGAAGAGGCTGCAGTGAGGAGCTTGAATCCTAGCTTACTCAGCCTCTGTATAAACGCTTCTACCCCTAGTCTCTGGGGATCCATGAAACATTGTAAGAAATTATTGGTTGATCTCACATGTTCCTTTAAGGTCATTGTAGTTATACATGAGTCTCCAGGCAAAAGTTACACATTGAGTTCCTAACATCTTTGTGTTCTTGAGTTTGTTCGAAAGGTGAAGTAGGTAGTGAAGCTATATTCCTTACACAATGGCTTTCTTTTAATTCCTCAAACATCTCCAATTTATTCTTTGATAAGTCACTCCTCCAAAACATCCTTTCTCTATATTTTTGCACAATTTACTGCTTTCTCATTATTTAAATCTCTAAATAAATATGTTTCCTAAGAGTCCTTCCTTTAGAAGCCGACTTACTGGGAAGCCCCTCACTTGGATTGTTGCATTCCAAGGCCCTGGGAGAGACCCCAGCAATGTTCTCACATGAACATATGTTTTTGTAAAATTTGTAAAATTTCTACGTCGCACAAACCAAAACAAAAGAACAAAATCCCCCCACTCTATACATAAAATGAAATCGCAAATATCAAATTGAGGGAAAAAATTGCAACTCCTATCCTAGACAAAAGGTTAATTTTCTTAATATAAAGAGAGCTGCTGGCTGGGCGCAGTGGCTCACACCTGTAATCAGCACTTTGGGAAGCCACGGTGGGCAGATTGTTTGAGCCCAGGAATTTGAGACCAGCTTGGGTAACATGGTGAAACCCTGACTCTACAAAAATAAAAATAATTAGCTGAACATGGTGGCATGTGCTGTAGTTCCAGCTGCTGAAGGCTGAGGCGGAAGGATCACTTGAGCGTGGGAGGCAGAGGTTGCGGTGAGCCAAGGAGTCTGTCTCAAAAAATATAAATAAATAGATGAATAAATAAATAAATAAAAAGGAAGTGCCACAATTAAGACCAACACAGAGATACCATTTCAAACCAATCAGATGGGCAAAAATCCAAAAGTTTATAAAATACTTTTCTGATGGATTTTTGAGAAAACACCTCATGAAGTACTAGTAGGAGTAAAAGTTTACTACCACAAAGGAAGGGAATAAAGCAAATTTTATCAGTTCCTCTAAGGCAGTGAGCTTTCCAATGCAAAATGGAATACATACAAGGTTACTCATTGTTTATACTGGCAAACACCTAGAAACCAGCTAGATTTCCATCAATAGAGGATTGATCATATAAACTATTGTTCACTTCTACAGGAAAGTAGTATGTGGTAAAATGAGAAACTCTAGGCACTGTCATGGAAATGTGTCTAGGATATATTTTTAAATAAAACAAGGAATATTTAGTACAGTATATATAGTATACTATATAAGGAAGGGGAGGATATAGTATAATACTGTATTTGCTTGTATTTGTGTAAGCATTTGAATGATACCCAAGCAGCTAAAGCTAAGCCATTTTTAGTTCATGCAAGGGAAGGGTGATGAGAGATGGAATGGTGTGGACAGGGACAAAGGAGAAATGAGGAGACTTTCCAATGAGTAACACATTACAGTGCTTTGGTGAATACGTTAATAATTTACTTTTCCAAAAAGTAAAATAAAAGAAATCTCAGCAGTGGCACATACTTTTAAAGTAACTTTCAGTAAGTTATTTAAAGTTCTTGAACCTCAACTTTCCCATCTATGAAATGGAGAAAACAGCATCTACGCAGAACTTTCAATTATTCACACAAATCAAGCTCTTTCTTGATTCCAGACATTTTCATGTCTGTGCCTTCTGTGTGGAATGGGCTATGCCTGGGCTTTGGAGAACTGCATCTCATCGCTGGACACTCCACTCTAATATGTAATATAGTCTCTGTCCCACTCATTTGTTTCTGGCCTATTTCTCTACTTCATTTT
Organism: Homo sapiens; assembly: GCF_000001405.40. NCBI lineage: Eukaryota > Metazoa > Chordata > Mammalia > Primates > Hominidae > Homo > Homo sapiens. Next base: position 174,711 of record NW_003871074.1, on the reverse strand, counting down.
CTTCATAGCGTCTTATCATTAGCTGAACTTCACGCTCTCTCTCTCTCTCTAAATTTTTTTAGAACCATGCTCCATGTCCAAGACATTTTTTTAATGAATGAATAAATGTTATACTCAATGCAGACTGCGTAGAAGAGGCTCAGTTACTTTTAGCTATTTCTATCATTGGGTACACAGCAGGGGTCATACTGTATTGGACAGTATTTCCACACTTCAGTTATCCAAGTTACTAGCTTGTAAGAATATATTTATTTCTTTCTATAACCTCGAAGTAAGACTTAATTTAGATGGATAGCATTTGGAGTAAGAACTAAAGAAATTTAAAAGACTTTCTAAAAGGAAGGCCACCATCTCACTCCCTGAATCAAACTTTTACATTTAATTAGACCTCTGGTGTTCTCTCGGACTCATTATTGTCTTATTTTGACTTTGGTGTGAAACCAAAGAACCATGCCCTCTCTACAATATGGGCTAAGAATAAAAGCAGCCCCACAGCTTCTCCTACCTTGGCATCAGATCATGGCCCCTAATTGTTTGCATGTCTTATTATAGAGAGGAAGCTCAATTATCTCCTCCTCCTGCAGAGTATTGGGAGAGAAACTCCTTGTCTGTTTCCTCTTTTTTCCCCTTCAAGAAAGGTAATATCTTTGTACTTGATTTCACCTTAGGAATGGAAGCAGGAGAGAAAAACGATGCACAAGTGCACACGCACACACACACACTCACACACATTTAAATTTTTGCAAATATTTTTTAGCAGCTTTTTTTTTCTGGTTTTCTAGACAAATATTTAGAATGACATAAGGGAGTTAAACCCCTGAACATAACATGTTTCATGTGTACAGTGATGTAAGTTAAGTTCTCCCTAATTCACATATTACTTCCTTTGAACTCCCTTTCTCTATGCCCAAGCACAATGGGGCCTCTGAGAGACATGTTCTCATGCTTAATTTAAAATGTATATTATAATAATCTTAAATTATATGTAAATACATGAGTATGTGTGTGTGTGTGTGTGTGTGTGTGTGTATTTTTCAACAAAATGAGGTGGAGAGGTGAACTATTTTCTATCCATTTTGCCTAATATCAGTAGCTTCTCTGGCTGATTCCCGGCCCCTGAGTAGCAAATTTTGAAGTGTTCATTATTTGTTTGATTACTTTAATTTCCCACCAGACATATATAGAGTGGAATAATGAAGGAAATGAGCGGGGAGATTTATGTACAATATTATAAACGCCATACAAGGGAATTTTAAAATATTCTGCTTTGTACTTTGGAGCATAACAGAAATTTCTAAGGTGTGAGTTTGGAGAGGCATATGCTCTCTGCAAGATTCATTTCATCCCTAACCTTGTCTGGCAGTGTGTGTATCTGTCTGTGTTCTATTTCTTGTTCACCTGGCACATGAGGAAATAGCTCTGTGCAGGTGCCGCTTTCATGGATCAGGGAATTGTAGATGATCAAGTGACTCATTTCAGGAAAAGGTATTGAAGCCAAACCTTATGATTTTCCTGCCTAAACTTTCCCAGCCTGAAATAAACTGATTTCTGATAAGCCAGAGGAGAACCCAGACAGAAAAATCGGTTGTGCCTGAGGCACTACTCCATTGGATTATAAAATGTTCAAGGCTGGGAATGTGTCTTGTTCAAGTTTGCACTCTTCATTGGCATGTAGTGGTCAATGAGTTGGTGGTTATTTTTTAGTATTTATAATAACAATGCCTTAAGTTTACAAAGGTCTTTGAAATACAGATCTTTCTTTCTCTCTCTTTCCTTCTTTCCTCCCTCCCTCCTTTCCCTTCTCCCTCTCTTTCCTTCCTTTTTTCCTTCCTTTTTCCTTTCTTCCTTTTTTCCTTCCTTCCTTTTTCTTTCCTTCCTTCCTTCCTCCCTTCCTCCCTCCCTCCCTCTCTTCCCTCCTTTTCCTTTTCTTTCTGTCTCCTCTTCTCTTCTCTTCTTCTCTCTCTCTCTCTTTTATAGAGACAGAGGCCTTACCATGTTGCCCAGGCTGATCTCAAACTAGAATCTTTCATATTTATTATCTTATTTAAAACAAATCCCAGTAGTTTGAGGCTTGTTATATTATTGCTGTTTCACAGATAAGGGATTTCTCAAAGTCACAGAAGAGGTAACAGTTGGTGGTTGTGAGGGCTGGCACCAGCACTTCTGTCTCTAAGTGGACTCTTCTCACTTTGTCTCAATTGCCCCCATTTATTTTAATGACTGGAAGAAAAATGAATGAATGATTGGATGAGTAAAAGAACTAAAGCCAGGACAATTCACCAACCCTCAGGGATGGAGAAGCTAGCCTGGCTAAAGTAGACCCGGACAGAAGATCCATCAGGATCCCCCTGAGAAATACAGGCTGTTGGTATTAGACTGCAAACTACAAATGTAACAGGGAGGGAAACTCATGCGTATTATACTTAGATATGCAAATAATCTGTACTTCTAATTTTTTTCTATAATTAATTGCATCTTTATTATGAGCCCATATAATGCTGAGTAGCAGGGGCTACTACACTGAGTTCAGTTTGTTAAATGCAATTGCACTGCTGATCTCAAAAACCCTGTATTTCAGATGCCTCTTCTCCACACACCTCTCTAGATTGGCCTCTAGAGATATGAGGAAGGGACTTTAGGAGAATTTATGGTGAATGGAATAGGAGAAGTCTCTTGGATTTACATGAGAGCCCTCTGGCTTCCCTGGCTCTTATGGTAACTTTATTGTCAACCTAGTTGAGTCTCACCTTACTGGCTTCCTTAGCTGGTGATGCCCTGCCCTCTTCTTTAAGCACAGTCAGGAGAACAAGAACTGTGTTCTTCCCTGTCTCCAAGTTCTCGCTTTGGTTCAGCTGGTGATGATAGCTTGTGTTACAAGAACAGGTGCAGAAAGTTTTGAAAGGCTCAGATATCTGCCACGTTAGTTCATAGACAGGTCAATATAGCTAGGTGTTTAAAGCAAACTAGACCTCAGATTTTTCCTACTGTTAGGCTTAAGAGAGTACCTTCTATCCACCACTCCACCTTATAATATCTCTGTCCAAATTAGCTTATGCTGAGTTAAGAGTTGGAAGGGAGAAGAAGTGATGAAAATTCTTTTGATTAGTCAATGAATTTAGGGGGAATGGCCAGGAGTTCTGCTAAGAGGATTTGATTAACATCACTAAGAGGAATCTTGAGGAGGCTTCAAAGATCAGGGACTCAGACTCCTGAAGAAAATACCATAACCATTCTCTCCTACCCACCATCCAACTTTGCAAGATGTTCTCTTTATAGGTGAAGTGACCTCTCTGAGTTAGACAAGCCATGAGGTACTCTGGCTCCTGGACAGTGAGTGGATATTGATTGGAAAGGAACATTTGGGGTTGACTCAGAGTTAAGAATCTCAGTCTCTTAACCTATCCCAGCAAAATTTATTCCAAGTTCAGAGGAAGAATGAGTACACTACAAGAAATTAGTTAAAGCAATTAAAAATATAAATGGATATTTACTGAATACCTACCATGTGCCAGGCACTATTCTAGGCACTGAGGGAAAAACAATGGGGCTGGAGGGAGGAGTGAGAAGGAAAAAAAAAAAAAACAACAGACAAAATTATCCAACTTTCTGGAGCTTCTATTCCGGAAGGGATTTCAGATAATAAATAACATAACTAAATAAACTATGCAGCACATTAGTGATAAATATAGAAAGAAATAAAGGAGGAAGGAGGATACAGGTAGAGTGGGGAGTGCAATTTAAATTGGTTTGAACAGAGAATATCTCACTGAGATGACATTTGAGCAAAAACTTGAAGAAGGTAAAGAAGCGAGCCACGTGGTTGGATATCTGAAAGAAGAGAATTCCAGTGAGAAGGTAGTACTGTTTCTGGTATATGTTAGAAGCACAGGACGGAGATTACTAGAGCTGGAGGGTACTGTCTGGTGAGGAGAAAATCTGTAAATGAGGCTAAAGAAATAAAGGAGTAGGGCCTTGATCATGGAAAAGGCTCTTGGTTGTTTCCCAGGTGAGATGGGAGCCCTTGAGCCCTTGAGCACAGGAAGGACCTGGTCTGATTTCAAGAATCATTTGTTTGCTGTGCTGAGAATTGATTCTCTCTACTATTCTAGGAGAAAAGTAGAAGCAGATAAACCAGTTAGGTTACTGTCACAATAATTCTAGTGAGAGAGATATTAGTAGCTTGGGATTGGGTAGCAGCAAGAGAGAGTGGGAGAAATAATTAGATATGGATATATTTTGTAGTAGAACCACTCAATAGCATGGATTGGATGTGGGGTAGAAGAAAAATAGGAAAATCAAGGATGTCTTCAAAATTTGTGGATTAACTAGAAAAATGGAATCACTATTAAGATGTGGAAGGCTTTAGGTGCGTTAGGTTAAGGGAAAGATTAGAAGTTGGTTTTTGCACATATTAATTTTGAGATGCCTATAAAACATCCAATAATTATTTGTTGAGTAGGTATTTGGAGTCTGACTTTAAGGGACAAGTCTGAGCTGGACATATAAACTTGTAAATCATCAGCACATAGATGGTTTTGAAAGGCATGAAACTAGATGAGATCATCAAGAGGGTGAGTGTAGACAAAACAAAAATGTAATAACATGGCTGAGCATTTTTTAGCATCCCAGGCCTTTAAATCCAGCTCTCAGCTGGAGATACCACTTAGGTATCTCCAGGCATCTCAAATTTAACAGGTCCAAAACTCAGTGCATTATCTGACCTCTTTCAAAACTTGCTATGTAAGCACAGTACTGATATTAAGTTGAATGATTATAGTAGGCTCTATTTTTTGAGTGCTTACATGTCTGGCATTTTGCTAAGCACTTTACATGCATTATTTAGTTTAATCCTTACAGTATCATGTTAAGTAGATATTACTATTTTCTTTCTATAGCAGATAAGAAAAGCGAGGCCAGAAAGTTTGAATAAATTGCCCAGGGACACACGACTAGTAAGCGGTGAAGTTTGATGGTAATCCCAGGTCTCTTGAATCCAGACCTTATATTTATAACAACCAAGTCATATAGTATCTTGATATTCAGGAAAAGTAAGTCTAGAGACTTTCCTAAATTTTTAGTTTTGTAACTTGTTTTGCATTATGGGGTTCTTTGATAATCTGATGAGAACTATAGATAATTCCCCTGGAGATATGCACATATGGGAAGAGAGCTAACACTTTGTATTCAATTTCAAGGTTCAATAGACACCTTCAGATCCATCCATGGACCTTGTCCACTTAAATATCAGTGGGACCTCCACAAAAAAATTTCTGCATCATGTCCCCCCATAATTTCTCTCATAAATGGCAATTTCTCTTTTAGTAACTTACTAAAAAATTTAATTGACCTTTTTTTAGGCTTTCATTTATTTACTTTAAAAGATATATATTCAGACAGGTAAATACTATAGACTTGTATAAACCTCATTTCTACCCTACCTCTATTCCTATCTACTCTATCCCATCCCCCAAATCTCATATTGAAAATGATGTAGTACTTTTCCTTAGTTCAGCTAAAGATGGGGTCTTGTCCCACGGCCAAGAAAATTTAGGCTTGCAGATGATTTTAAGGGTGAGTGAGGTAGGGTTTCACTGGGGGAAAAGGAAAAAAAGGGGAACAGAGAATCTCTGCAAGGCCAGAGTTACTGCTAGTGTGCTTCCTGCCTGTCAGCTTGAATCCCAGGTTCCACACAGGAAGATGAGGGGCTGCAAATGGTGCAAACTTCTGTGACTATATCCCATTGTACATTCCTCCTAGTACGCAGGCTGATTGGAAGCTCTGCCAGGGAGTCCTTCTCACCTGGCTGTCCCAGCAACAACTTCTATTACTTCCTTTAGTATCTGTCCAGTGTTTCTTTAATGTAAATATAGGCATGAATTTAGTTGTTGGTCCCCACTCCATCTCTTTCTTATATAAAGGTAACACAGTATGCTCATAATCCTTTGCTTTGCTTTTATTAATATATCCTGGGTTTCTTTCCAGATCAATAGGCAGAGAGCTTCTTCATTCATTTTTAATTGCAATCCGTCTACCAGTCTCTTATGAATGCACATTTGGGAGCTTTCTAATTTTTTCTCCTTTAAACAATGCTGCAGTGAATAACTAACAAAAGTCATTTTGAACATATGCAGGAATATCTATCAGATAAAGTCCTAGTAGTAAGATACTACTAGATACAAGTCAAAATGTAAATGCATTTGCATTTTTTAAACCATTTCTCAAGGCATTATTGCCATATGGAAAGTTGTATATATTTAATGTATTCATCTCAATAGGTTTTGGAATAAAAGCACACATCAATGAAACCATCGCAATCATCCAGGCCATAATTATATCCATCACCTCCCAAAGTTTCCTTCTGCTCTCTTTATTATTATTATTTTGTGGTAAGATAAAATAATAACATAATGTAAAATCTACCCCCTTAGCATTTTAAAGTATACAATACAGTATTGCTTGCTATAGGCACTATGCTATATGTTGGATCTCAGGTATTAAATTCTCCTGCATAACTGAAACTTTGTCCCTTTAACCATCACTCCTCATTCTCCCCTCTCCCCAGCTCTTGGCAACCACCATTCTACCCTCTGCTTCTATGAGTTTGACTATTTTAGATTCCACATATAAGTGAAATCATACAGTGTTTTTCTGTATCTGACTTATTTTACTTAATGTATAACCATGTTGCCACAAATGGCAGAATTTCTCTCTTTCTTAAGGCTGACTAATATTCTGTTGTACGTATATACCACATTTTCTTTATCTACTCATCTGTCAATGGATAAAGAACAATGGATATTTCGCATTTATAATTTTGATAGATATTACACAATTGCATTCCTTAGAAGTTGAAACATACTGCACATTCATTATAGCAATGTGAGAGAGTGCCTGTTTCTCTACAGTTTCCCCAGAAGCTGGTGTATTATTAAGCTTTTGAATTTTTACCAAATAGGTGAGAAATGCTATTTCTGTGTAGTCTTAATTTTCATTGTATGAGAGGGATGAGTATCTTTTCATAAGTTTAGGGCTGCAGTTACATTTCTTTTTCTGAGAACTTTCTGTTCTCTACTTTTCAGTTGGTTCTTTGGGCATTAACATTTCTATAAATATAAGACTAAAGTAATGGATAAAGTTACTAAAATAAAGAAGACTATTAAAATTTATTTCATGTGGCATTGTTGAAGCATTTTTATTTAATTTTATTTATTTATTTTACTTTAAATTCTGGGACACATGTTTTATCTGGGATACATGTTTTAATACATGAAAAAATACTGGCATTATTATTCTTTCCTTTTTTTATACTGTCAATATACCCTCACTAAGTTCTTATTGTTCTCTCTTGGCATCATGGGGGTTTTCCTAAATGGTGAAACAAGTCCAGCTTAAAATGAAGACTTCAGCATTGTCCTAAAGAAGATGAGTCACTTTTTACCTGCTTTAACCCAGAAGCTCATCTGTCTTGGGGATATTTGTGTGCCAAAGCACTTTCATCTACTGTAGATATATGCTGTCTGTGTTGATCATTTATTTTGGTTTCTAACCTCCTCTGCAATGGGCCACTTTGGCTTTTCAGTTCAGGAAAAACATAAAAACAAAAATATCTGATAAATCAGGAAAGTCAGTCAATGTTCTTTGTTTGATTATATGAAGCAGGGAAAACAGCCCTTAAAATTCTCTTACCAACTCAGTGGTAAACTTCTACTCAATAGTAAACTTGGATTAGACAAGCTCACTAGAACATTTTACTATGTGTAATTTAAGAATGTGTATTGCCAAGTTTCTGACTTTGTCCTGAAGTACATTTCTACTAAGAACCATTTGTTTTCCTGTGCTAATCCTGGCATGAAAAGTAAATCACCTTTTCAGATTTCACTACTGTTGTATCTCTCACTTGACAAGTAGCTTTTTCAGCGTTGGCAATGCTCCTGAAATAGTTCTATTAAATTTTTCTCCTATTTCTGTGTAAGCAGCATTTGAATTTATTCAACTTGTAGATATAAGCTTTTACTAAATTTGATTTTCCATTTTTACATTACAGCAAATCTTTTGTTTTCAATCTGAGAACGATTACTTTTACTCTTTATTATTCTTTGCTTCCATCTCCAATACCAGAAGTTGGCTTTCTTTTCAAGGCCATTTAAAAAATCACCCCCCCCCACCCAAAAAGAGAAAAAGAGAGGTTCATAAGAGAGGTTATGTGAGTTATCATATTCACACTGAATATAAAACAACAAAGCCTCATACTTACGGGCAAATGGTTAGGCTCACTCATCAGCTCAGTGATTCCCCCTTGTATAGAATGTAAGATAAAAATTTATGATACAAGAAAATTAAAGATGCCTGCAGAGGAAGTCTGGCAAGATTGCCTCCAGGTCCTTAGTATACTAAGGGAGTATGTGTCTAAAGACCCTAAACCTTAAAATATGATGTGCTCATCCTCACAAACTGCCAAATGACAACGGGCCTTTTATTCCTATAAACTTCCATTATCCTGCTACTGATGTAAAGATGAATTTCATGTTAATCATTAATGTCTCTATTTGTGTCAGGAGCCTCCCTGTCTAGACATTTTTTAGCTGGAGGGATAGCGGCTGCAAATTAGCCATGCAGTCACGCAGCACAGAAGTTCCGTTAGCGTAATGAACCTCTTGGGACTGGGATTGAGAACTGCAGGGACAGCAGCATCTCTGTGTGTCCCCTGCTGCCACTCGCCATTTTGGTAGAGTCAATACGATGCCTTTTTAATCACAATTTTGTTTCAACACATTTTGATCTGTTAATGGGCATTCATATGTCTTTGGTGAATATCTTGCTTTTTAAAAACATTTTCAAAGGAAGAAACTGTTTTTTACATTTACCAAAAGCCTATTAAGTGCAAATTCAAAGTGCCTATTTTCCACCTGTCCTCTGTTATTTTCTAGCACTCGCAACTTACAGGAGCCACTCACTTTTCTACTTTAGAAAAATTTTTCTTCTCATTTCTGCCCATACCTTCCCTGATCTCTCTTGTCTTTTGGTATTTCTCCCCTCCATCTGATGAGCTGCTCAGTTGTCATACATTTTCTGGTTTCAGCTCCCCGGAGAGGGCGGTTTATTTTCCACTCCGATTTTCTTGCAAGGGTCTGTTCATCCCACTTCTGACCTTTCTTTTTTGGAGACAGAAAAAGGAGGCATAGCATTAAATTGACCACGGCTAAATGTTTTGCCTGGACTGGGGAGCTGAGAAGAGAAGGCTGTAAATCTAGATATGAGGACTGTTTTTGTTCATCACACTCTTGCCATGATCAATCTTTGTGTATTCTTGTGGAGTGACATCCATGCCTAGTTTGCTTCTGTAGCCTTTTATTGAATTGCGAGCTTATCCCTGATGATTCTGGAATTGCTGGGCAGAGTCTGGCTGAAAACATTATCGTCCCTGCAAAAACCCTGGGCTGCGAAATAGTTTTGTTTAAGAGTAGATTTGTTAGAATTAGGCTTCCCTCTCCATGACCAGATTCTTTGCTATGAGCAGGAAATGAAATAAAGAGGAAAGCAGCCCTAGATATTTATCTCTAACTCCACTGTATTGGGATTTAGTCCATGTTTTCTGGGCTTCCCGATCAGAGGGTGAATGTAAATCACTGCGTAACTCTGACCATTCCTTTCTGTGCTGTGTGGGAGGAAACCTGGGGCATGCGGTCTCCAACATGCACTCAGGCTGGCTGTGGTGGGGATGGCATTCACTCATTAACACTTGCAAGGCCCTCCTTGAGGTTTGCTTCTCAGTTCTGCATCCTGTTGTACATGAGATTCACCTTCTGTGTTCCCAAGTCATGTTTACATTCAAGTAGCATTTGGCTCCTTGGCATAGGGATAATTCCCACCCTTATTTAATGAGTCCTGACTATATTGCTGAATCAAAAACTCAGCTTACTTGCTTATGAACTTCCAAGCATTATTGTTTTTGTGGTGGGAAAAAAGACGTGCTGGAGTGCTATAGTGGTTTTTCAAGTCAGGACCTGAATTGTTAAACTGTCATCCAAATCCTAGTTGTAGTCCACCCTGATATACATTGTTTCTAGGACAGTGAGTCAAGCTTTTAGAGAAGCAGCAATTTTAATGGATTCAAGTCCATCAACAGCCCTCAGGAGAAGGCTTGCAAAATATCCCCGAGATATCTCTGGATATGTGTGTCTTTGTGCTGCCTGCTCTGTGTTCCTCCCTTGACTCAAAGTCCTTTCCATTTCTACTGCTGGAGAGTTTACCATGCAAATCCTGCAATCTGGGTAGAAAGCAATTTATGCAAGTAGGCTCCAAAGCTTGGTATGAGGCCAATGCCACACGAGCAGGCGAGGCTCAGAGTGTCCAGTCTTAACCATTGCAAAAGATCAAAAGTGTGTCTGGAAGTGGTGGGTTCTTGGTCTCACTGACTTCAAGTATGAAGCTGCGGACCCTTGCGGCGAGTGTTACAGTTCTTAAAGATGGTGTGTCCAGAGTTTCTTCCTTCTGGTGGGTTCGTGGTCTCACTGGCTTCAGGAGTGAAGCTGCAGACCTTTGCGGTGAGTGTTACAGCTCTTAAAGGCGCGTTTCGGGAGTTGTTCGTCCCTCCTGGTGGGTTCGTGGTCTCGCTGGCTTCACAAGTGAAGCTGCAGACCTTCCCGGTGAGTGTTACAGCTCATAAAGGTGGCGTGGACCCTAAGAGTGAGCAGCAGCAAATTTATTGCAAAGAGCAAAAGAACAAATCTTCCACAGTGGGGAAGGGGACCCAGCGGCAGTGGGTTGCCACTGCTGGCTCTGGCAGCCTGCTTTTACTCCCTTATCTGGCCCCACCCACATCCTGCTGATTGGTCCATTTTACAGAGAGCTGATTGGTCCATTTTGGCAGGGCACTGATTGGTGCATTTACAATCCCTGAGCTAGACACAAAAGTTCTCCAAGTCCCCACTAGATTAGCTAGACACAGAGCACTGATTGGTGCATTTACAAACCTTGAGCTAGACACAGGGTGCTGATTGGTGTGTTTATAAATCTTGAGCTGCACACAGAGTGCTGATTGGTGTATTTACAATCCCTCAGCTAGACATAAAGGTTCTCCAAGTCCCCACTAGATTAGCCAGACACAGAACATTGATTGGTGCATTTACAAACCTTGAGCTAGACACAGAGTGCTGATTGATGCATTCACAATCCCCTAGTCTTACATAAAGGTTCTCCAAGTCCCCACTAGACTCAGGAGCCCAGCTGGCTTTACCTAGTGGATCCCACAGGGGGCTGCAGGTGGAGCTGCCTGCCAGTCCAGCGCCATGTGCCAGCACTAGTCAGCCCTTGGGCAGTCATGGGAGTGGGTGCCTTAGAGCAGGGGGCGGTGCTCATCGGGGAGGCTCGGCCCGGCAGGAGCCCACTGCAGGGGAGGCTCTGGCCTGGCGGGCTGCAGGTCCCGAGCCCTGCCCTGCAAGGAGGCAGCTGAGGCCCAGCAAGAATTGGAGCACAGTGCTGGCAGGCTGGCATTGCTGGGGGACCCAGAGCACCCTCCGCAGCTGCTGGCCCAGGTGCTAAGCCCCTCACTGCCGGGGGCTGGCGGAGATGGCTGGCTTCTCCAAGTGCGGGGCCGCCAAGCCCACGCCCACCCAGAACTCGTGCTGGCCCACGATTGCTGCACGCAGCCTGGGTTCCCGCCCGCGCCTCTCCCTCCACACCTCCCCCTCCACACCTCCCCTTAAGCAGAGGGAGCTGGCTCTGGCCTCGGCCAGCCCAGAGAGGGGCCCCCACAGCGCAGTGGCGGGCTGAAGGGCTCCTAGAGCATGGCCAGAGCAGACACCGAGGCTGAGGAGGCGCTGAGAGCGAGTGAGGGCTGTGAGGGCTGCCAGCATGCTGTCACCTCTCAAAAGGTTTCATCTGTAGCAGGGACAGAAACAGTTACATCCCGTTTGCACCTGGGAGCAGCACAGTTATTGAGGCTGGAGAGAGAACTCACTAACTCCAGCAACAGACATAAGAGTAGTCAGCCATGAGTTGGGTATTGGTGATTCTCACAACTAACTCTGGCTCCAGGAGAAAGAGCAGGAATCAGTCTCAATTGAAGCTGGAGTTCAAGAAGATTTCAGACACATTCTGAGTCCCGATAAAGGCTGAAAGGGAAATATTTGAATGCGGGGGAAGGTAGGGATGAAGAGTGGAAATGGAGCCAAATATACTGTTTCTGTCTTTGTTTTAACTGTTTAATTCTTAATTGTCTTCTTCTGGTTTGAGGAAGCGCTGTTATATACATAAATACAAGATTAATCTTAGCTGGTCTACTGCAATCCTATGTTTATTTCCAGGGATGCTTGGAGCCATTGTTGTCTGGAGGGAGGACTGACTTATTTCCAGAGATTCCTGGAGACACTGCTGGAACCTTAGCCAAATCAGAATAAGCTCAACTAACTGGTGACAAATATTCCTGTGCTAGGACCTGAGACAGGCCAAGTGAGAGATCTGTAGTAGTTTATTAGCTTTGTTCATTAAAAAAACAACAAAAAATTCCAGATTGGTGTTTTTTACCTAGTTTCTACTATGTTCTCTTTGTTTCTTCTGTTCGCTTTTGTCATGCAGCCCAGTTTTGGTTATGAGACCAGACAGATATGAAAGACCACTCCTTGGACAAGACTGTGATTCTCCAGAGCTCAAGTTTTCTTGTATATATCTTAGTAGTTCATGATTCAGATTAAAATCGCATCCTAATCAATTGAGAAATGATCCTGGAAGCTGGGTCTGAAGGTCTTGGACTTTTCTGAGGTTTTCTGTGCTTTCCCCCCACCTACTTTAGAGTATCCTTTACTTTATTAAGACTGTACTCTGTGGAGTCTCATGAGTCGTTTCAGTTGTTCAGCCCTGTGTATTGATGCATCATGTTAGTTTTGTGTTCACTCTGGAATGTGATACAGTAAAAGGTCTATATATTTTTTTCAACTCATCTAAATTGTCTTAGGTCTAGCTGGACTTGATCAAATGGCAATTGAGAAAGTCAGGCTTTAAGTAAGCCAGATATCTGGCTTTTGATTCTCCTCTTTCTCACTGTCTTCTCCTCATTCCCCTTAGATATAGAATACCCTCATAATTTTTCTAATATCCTCCCATCAATGCCTTCTGTGGATTGCTCTAAGAGACTTCCCTAATTCTTTTCTACCCCATTTTCATTAAATAAAATTAGTTTCCAGCCCTCTGCAGCTACAAGACTGTGTTTTTACAAAACTGCTATGACGCATCACATCCTATTAAATCATTCTCTCACCTGATAGACTGTGAAATCTGTGAAAACAGAAGTCCCGTCTTACTCATTTCTAATTCTTAGCCCTGTCTTATAAGAGCAGGAACTCTTTAAATGCATTATCAAAGAAGTCAATGAATTAACAACTAGCTCTTTATAGATAAAGAAGTTCTTTTACTTTGAAGAGTTATTCAAGTGTTGACCGACTGGCAACATTATCTCACAGGTGTAGTTGTATTCCAAATGTAACAATGGATAAAACCTTAAGCTAAAGTAATGCTATTTTAATCGTGGCATGTCACATGTTGACAGACTCTAGGTAACTCAAGTGTTTGCATATGTTTTTAGTGGGGGCACCAGGGACTTTCAGAGAAACTTCAAATGGAGACACATAGATTCTTTTGACCATAAATCCACTTTGGAACCCGGAAATGTCAGTGAATATTCATCTAGTTTAAGTTGGGGTCAATTCTACCCTAAGTGAAATCTCATTATTATTTTTATTGAGGTTATTTTTAGCATGGCACAGGTGGCCACCATGGCATGATAGTCAGTCTAAAGCTCTGCCACCAAATAGCTGCATGACCATGAGTCAGGTTGCTTGTGTGAAATTTTCATTTCCTTATTTGCAAAATAAAAGGTTGAATTCCATAATCTCTGGTGTCTCTGTCAGTTGAATATTTCATGTGACCATGAATACATCATTCAACCAGATACACTTAACTAGAAAGAAGTGCTTTGTGTGAAATCAGTGAGATCAGTCACCTTTCACTGTCTTGGCAAATGGAAGGAAGGAATTGTACATGAAAGATTAACAAGTCACATTTGAACTGGGAAAAAAAAAGAGTGACATTTTCAGTTGTCATTGTATTTGGCCTAAAACAATATTACAGCATATTTGGTTCCTCCTGGAATATACTTACCCCATTGACTTGGTATTCTTTCTGATATCATCCAATTGTCTGATTGCCCATAAGGCTGAGAAAGAGACTACATGGCAAATTAGTAGCCATCATAAAGTCTATGAAGTAGGCGAGTGACCTTTATTTCCATCCTGGCAGAGGACAAAAATAAGAGCGTATTTGTAAGAAAACTGAATACGCCCAAAGCAGATAAGTTGATGTATGAAAGGTAAGTCCCATAGACTTTAGGTGTCATGCGAGGAAGCTTCGTGGTTGCCAAGAGATCTGAAAAAAATTTACTTTGGAGAAATATAGTCCAGGATCTAATTAGGTTTTCAAGTACAGAATCTTGGTCTCAAGGGCAATTGGATTTATGGGTACTGAATTCAGCCAAAGAATATCCAAGATGATACCTAAAAGTCCCCCCAAAGCTCGCAAGAGAATGATACATAGTAGTGGAGTGCCAGGTTTCGTTAGAAATGTATTTTTCTTGGGCAGGGACACTCACGTGGGCCTGATTCATTCTGGCTTCTTGGGGAGAGGCTTTATTGCGGGGGGGTGCCATATGCTGATTTGAAGCTTGGTTGGTGAACATGACATGAGAAGGGAATATTAGTGGCATCTGGCTAGGCTGCCATAAGATTGACACTGCAGAGTTCCCTACTCCATTTTCTGCTTACTCCTTACTGTGTTTTCAGAGATTTTTTTTTTTTTTCGTGGTTCCATTCAGCAAACTCCTCTTCTAATGGATCTGCTCTAATTTAGATAAAGAAAGAATTTGGTCTTATTGCCACCCAGTGTAATAAAACAGATATTTCAAAAGCGACTTTGTATATTGTTCCCAATTATTTTACACTCATTTGTGGTTCTAACCTCAGAATGAGCAATCTTAATTTCCTTTTATTTCAAAGATTTGTTTTGGGTGGGAGGAGGCTGTCGGGGTGGAGATGAGGCATCTTAACTTTCCCTAGTGAACTACCTACAAAACATATGGTAACATTTGCTACTTGATAAACACTAGAATGATTTAATCGGTAAATGCTAGGTGCAATGATGCTTTTTAAATTTGTCATGGTTGTTTTTGGTTCTGCAAGTCAACTAACAATAAGGATTTCAGGAGCAAAACTGTTGTGAGACATTCTGTTCTGAGTTGGTAACAAAGTTCATAATTAGGATATTAGAAGCTCACACAAGAAAAGGAGATACTGTGGCATGGTCAAGATATTAACGGCTGAGTGTCAGGTTTTCTGTTATATTTCGGCAGGAAGAGGAAAGAATTTGCTGACAGGAAAGCAATATAGCCGACCTCTTTGTATGTGGACGTGCTGCCACCTCTTGGTCTTTTCTTGTCATTGACGAGGTTTCAAAAGCTGCTGAATCTAGACTACCATTCCAGTTTTCTGCTCCTGGGATCTTAGTAAGCTCCCAGACATTTTTGCACTAGGATGGGAATCGGAAGGAATGGGTTCTAGTTCCAAAAATGAGAGTAACTTGCTCTGTGATTTTGGGCTACTCATAACTACTGTGGGTGGTGTTTTTCTCATTTGCAAAGAAGCCAAAAATATTGATCATGGTAGCCTAATTTTTTTTATGATTACAATATATTTTTTAAATACTTCAGATGTGTTATAGGACTTAAGCCAAACAATTATATCCACTTGCAATTAAGGAAAATGTGGCAAAGAGAGAGCAAGTAATTTGTTTGTTAAATGGCAGAGCTAGGATTTGACCATGATGTTAAACATGTTTTGCAAAGTTTCTTCCAGCTCTGGTTTTTCTACTTCTTTTCTAATTGAATTAACTTTAATGATCGCTAACACTTATTGACAACTTGCTATTTGGCAACAAACTAGGGTTTTTACATAAGTTCCCTCCTTTAATTATTGTTATAATAGTATAAAACAGATACTATTATCCTTTCTGTTTTATAGAACAAGAAAACTAAGGCTTAGATTAATTGATAGCTGACCACTTTAACTGGTGTGTCCCACTCTTTGTTTATCTTCCTGATGTAGCTGACAATAATATGCTACAAAACTTTTAAAAACTTGTATTTGAAAAAACTATATATATAATTAGTTTTTTTTTCTGTTTGTACAAAAAAATTTTGACAGTCAGTGTAGGGAGGGGGAATACACAGTTTGTTCTAATAAAGATCCAATCCTCAGAAAGAATTATGACTAATAGAAACCTGTGTCATATGATTTATTATGTATATTTGTGAGGTCCACAATGAAAGGGGTTCAGCTAAAATAGTGTGGGGGTTCCAGTGTTCAGGGAGATGACAGCAGTCATATGCACATGCATTCACACTTAGACACATGTACAAACAAAACTCAGTTCCATTGTAAATGTCAGTGAGAAGAAGTTTATCCTATCTTTGGTGTTTCTGAAGAGAGATTTAGGAAATAAAGTATGTAGAACATACAGGAAAACAGTGTACCAATCATGCTAGGTGTCACCTGCAAAGTGTACCCTAGCACTACTCATAAGGCCATTCCAACATTCAGTTGGCTAGTAGCTTCTGGGTGATGTGGCATGAAGGAAGCCATATTGATATTATGGTCATATGCTTATTGCTCTTTTCTCATCATAAACTATGTCCCTTGGTCTGAGATAATGTTAGATGGAATCCCATGATAATATATTAGACACTCTGTGAGCTTTCAAATTATAATATAGACAAAGCATCTGACATAGTTTGAATGTGTCCCCACCCAAATCTCATCTTGAATTGTAATTCCAATAATCCCCACATGTCATGGGAGGGACCCAGTGGGAGGTAACTGAATCATGGGAGCAGGTACTCTCATGATGTTCTCATGATAGTGAATTCTCATGAGATTGATGGTTTTATAAGGGGCATTTTCCCCTTTGCTTGGCACTTTTCTCTCCTGCCACCATGTGAATAAGGATGTGTTATCTTTCTTTTATAAATTACTCAGTCTTGGGTATGTCTTTATTAGCAGTGTGAGAATGAATGAATACAGTAAATTGGTACTGGTAGAGTGGGGTGCTGCTATAAGGATACCCGAACTGTGGAAGCAACTTTGAAACTGGTAACAGGCAGAGGTTGGAACAGTTTGGAGGGCTCAGAAGACAGGGAAATGTGGGAAAGTTTGGAACTTCCTAGAGACTTGTTGAATGGCTTTAACCAAAATGCTGATAGTGGTATGAACAATGAAGTCCAGGCTAAGGCGATGAGGAACTTCTTGGGAACTGTAGCAAAGGTGACTCTTGCTATGCTTTAGCAAAGAGACCAGTGGCATTTTGTCCCTGCCTTAGAGATCTGTGGAACTTTGAACTTAAGAGAGATGATTTAGGGTATTTGGTGGAAGAAATTTGTAAGCAGCAAAGCGTTCAAGATGGAGCAAAGTATAAAAGTTTGGAAAATTTGTGGCTCAACAATGCAATAGAAAAGAAAAGTCCATTTCCTGGGCGGGGGGTTGGGGGCATGGGGAGGGGCGGGGCGGAGAAATTTAAGCCCACTGCAGAAATTTGCATCAGTAACATGGAGCCAAATGTTAATCGCCAAGACAATAGGGAAAATGTCTCCAGGTTATATCAGAGACCTTTACAGCAGCCCCTCCCATCACTGTCCAGGAGACTTAAGAGGGAAAAATGGTTTCATGGGTTGGGCCCTGGGACCCCCTACTCTATGCAGCCTCGGGACATGATGCCCTGCATCACAACTGCTCCAACCATGGCTAAAAGGGGCCAATATACAGCTCAGGCCATTGCTTCAGAGGGTGCAAGCCCCAAGCCTTGGTGGTTTACACATGGTGTTGGGCCTGCAGACACACAGAAGTCAAGAATTGAGGTTTGGAAACCACTTTCCTATATTTCAGAAGATGTAAGGAAATGCCTGGATGTCCAGATAGATGTTTGCTGTAAGGACAGAGCCCTCATGGAGAAGCTCTGTTAGGGCAATGTGGAAGGGACACATGGGGATGGAGCCCCCACAAAGAATCCTCACTGGTGCACTACCTAGTGGAGCTGTGAGAAGAGGGCTACCATCCTCCAGATCCCAGAATAGTAGATTCACCGACAGCTTGCACTGTGTGCCTGGAAAAGCTGTAGACATGAAATGCCAGCCCATGAAAGCAGCCAGGAGGGGAGCTATACCCTGTAAAGCCCCAGAGGCAGAGCTGCCTAAATTATGAAAGCCCACCTCTTGCATCAGCATGACCTGGATGTGAGACATGGAGTCAAAGGATCATTTTGGAACTTTAAGGTTTAATGACTGGCCTATTGGAATTCAGACATGCATGGGGCCTGTAGCCCATTTGCTTTGTACAATTTCTCCTATTTTGAACAGGTGTATTTACCTGATACTTGTACACCCATTGTTTCTAGGAAGTAACTAACTTGCTTTTGATTTTACAGGCTCATAGATGGAAGAGACTTGCGTTGTCTCAGATGAGACTTCGGACTTGGACTTTTGGGTTAAGCCTGGAATGAGTTAAGACTTTGGGGGACTGTTGGAAAGGCATGATTGTGTTTTGAAATGTGAGGCCATGAGATTTGGGAAGGGTCAGGGGTGAAATGATATGGTTTGGCTGTGTCCCCACCCAAATCTCATCTTGAATTGTAGTTTCCATAATCCCCACATGTAGTGGGAGGAACCTGGTGGGAGGTAATTGAATCTTGGGGGTTCTTACTCTCATGATGTTCTTGTGATAGTGAGTGAGTTCTCATGAGATCTGAGTTTCATAAGGGGCTTTTACCCCTTTACTCAGCACTTCTCTCTTCTGCCACCATGTGAAGAAGGGCCTGTTTGCTTCCTTTTTCACCATGATTGTAAGTTTCCTGAGGCTTCCTCAGCCATGCAGAACTGAGTTGATTAAACTGCTATCTTCAATAAATTACCCAGTTTTAAGCAGTTCTTTATAGCTGTGTGAAAGTGGACTAATACAGCATCACAGACTGGAAAGGCAAATTCTTATCTAAAAATTTTGTTAATCCAGTGAGATCTAAACATTGCTTCTTGCAATGTGGAAGGAGTCTGATATGATCAACTTAACACCTGTGGCTCAGGGGTTGGGGTAGTCAAGGGATGGGATTATATTGATGGCCCAGAATCAGGCCTTTCTATTGCAAGATGAATGTTCAGCAACAGCAACATCAACAGCATTAGTGAGGCTGTTTGATCAACCTTGGCAAGGGAAGCCTATGCTGCTGTATTTCTGTGTAGCTTCTATCCCTACCACCATGGTTATGTTGTTCATGAATCCACTGTGTTAGCACTGAGGTGGTTGAAGAAAAAGGGTGGTTGCCATCAACTGGTCAAGTCATCCCATCTACCTGTTCGGTGACTTCCACAGGGGGTAATATTCATTGACATTGATATGAGACAAAACAGTCTGCACCCATTGTGCACATACCCATAGTTATATCCACATACTTCTTATCCAGGTTTCTTTGTCTCATATCTTCCAATCATTTTTTCCAGATATTTGAGTAACCAGTCGAACTATTTGCAACATCTCAGATGTTTGAGTGTATTTTTAGTTCAGGCAACTTTCCCTTTCACTAGCATGATGATTTCTTGCAGAATGCCCAGGAAATCAAGTTTGTTTCAAAGTGTACTATATACGAGAAGAGGAAATTTAAAATATCCCTGTGGCAAAACTTAATGTATACCGCTATCCTTTGCAGGTGAACATAATATACTTCTATACTGTATCTGATAGAGATTGAAAATAAATTGAAAAGGAGGGAATACTTACTTGTAAAACATTTTATGAAGCCAGCGCTATCCTAATACAAAGCCAGACAAAGGGACTACAAGAAAAGTAAATTACAGGCAGACATTCTTATGAAGATAGAGGCAAAAACCCTTGACAAAATACTAGCAAACTAAATTCACAGCACATTAAAAAATCATCAAGATTAAGTAGGCTTTATCCCTGGGGTGCAAGAATGGTTCAATATATACAAATCCATAAATGTAATATATTATATTAAAGTGGAAGTAAAACACCATTTGAATATCTCAATAGATGCAGTAAAGACATTTGACAAAATTGAACATATTTTCATGACAAGAACTCTGAACAAATCAGATATAGAAGAAATTTACCTCAAAATAATAAAAGCCATACATGAAAAACCCAGAACAAATATCATTCTTAATGGTTAAAAATTAAGTTTTTCTCTAAGAACAAGAGCAGGATGAGGATGCCCCTTTCATCTCTCTATTCAACATACTACTAGAGTCCTAGCCAAAAAAGTAGGGAAGAAAAAGAAATGAGGCATCCATAAAGGAAAGGAAGAAGTGAAATTGTTTCTGTTTGTTGACATTATCCAAAGACACATGCACACGTATGTTTATTGCGGCACTATTCACAATAGCAAAGACTTGGAACCAATCCAAATGTCCAACAATGATAGACTGGATTAAGAAAATGTGGCACATAAACACCATGGAATACTATGCAGCCATAAAAAATGATGAGTTTGTGTCCTTTGTAGGGACATGGATGAAGCTGGAAACCATCATTCTCAGCAAACTATCCCAAGGACAAAAAATCAAACACAGCATATTCTCACTCATAGGTGGGAATTGAACAATGAGAACACTTGGACACAGGAAAGGGAACATCACACACCAGGGCCTGTTGTGGAGTGGGGGATAGCATTAGGAGATATACCTAATGCTAAATGATGAGTTGATGGGTGCAGCACACCAACATGGCACATGTATACATAGGTAACAAAGCTGCACGTTTTGTGCATGTACCCTAAAACTTAAAGTAAAAAAAAAAAAAAGAAAATCCTAAAGACCCCACCAAAAACTGTTGAACTAGTAAATAAATTCAGTAAATTCGGAGGATACAAAACCAGTATGCAAAAATCAAGAGTGTTTCTACGCACTAACAATGAACTATCTGAAAAATAAACTAAGAAAATAATCCCATTTAAAATAGCATCAAAAAATACTTAGGAGTAAATTTACCCAAGGAGGTTTAAGATCTCTACAATGAAAATGGAAATACATTGATGAAATAAATTGAAAAAGACACAAGTAAATAGAAAGATGCCTATGTTTTTAAATTGGAAGAATTAATATTGTTGAAATGTCTGTACTACAAAAATCAATCTACAGATTCAATGCAATGCTCCTCAAATTTTCAATGGCATTTTTCAGATACATGGAAAAAAGTTCTAAAGTTCATATGGAATCACAAAAGATGCCATATAGACAAAGCAATCTGGAGTAGAGAGAACGAAAGTGGAGGCATCACACTACCTGACTTCAAAATGACTTACAAAGATATAGTAATCAAAACAACATGGTACTGGAATAAAAATAGACACATAGACCAGTGAAACAGAATAGAGAGCCCAGAAATAAATCCACACATTTA
Source organism: Homo sapiens (assembly GCF_000001405.40). Taxonomy (NCBI): domain Eukaryota; kingdom Metazoa; phylum Chordata; class Mammalia; order Primates; family Hominidae; genus Homo; species Homo sapiens. The sequence goes on along the minus strand of NW_003871074.1, from coordinate 153,208 downwards.
TGATCAATTGATTTTTGACAAAGATGCCAGGAATACACAATGGGGAAAGGAGTGTTTCTTCAATAAATGTTCTTGGGAAAATTGGATATCCACACACAGAATAAAGAAATTGGACCTTATCTCATACCATATACAAAAATAACTTAAAGTTGATTAAAACTTAAATGTAAGACCTGAAACTGTAAAACTAATAGAATAAAACACAGGGAAAACCATCCACGACATTGGTCTTTGCAAGGATGTCTTTAGATGTGACCCCAGAAACATAGCAAAAGTAGCAACAGCAAAAATAGACAAATGAGATTGCATCAAACTAAAAACTTCTGCATAGTAAAGCAAACAATTAACAGAGTGAAGACACAACCCACAGACTGAGAGAGAATATTTGCAAATCATACATTTGATAAGCAAATAATATCCAAAATGTATAAGGAACTCAACTCAATGGCAAGAAAACGAATATCCCCATTAAAGACTGACAAAAACCTGAGTAAACATTTTTCGAAAGAAGATGTACAAATGGCTAACAGATATCTGAAAAACTGTTCAACATCACTAATCATCATGGAAATGCAACTAAAAACTATAAACAAATATCATCTTATCACTGTTAGAATGACTAGTATCAAAAAGATAAAAGACAACACCTGTTATAATAACAATTATCAAAAAAATGAAATGTAAAAAGTGTTGGCCAAGATGTGGAGCAAAGAGAACAACTGTACACTGTTGGTGAGAATATTAATTAATACGGCCATTATGGAAGACAGTGTGTAGGTTTCTCTAAACACTAAAAATAGAATTACCATATGCTCTAGCAACCCTACTTCTGGTGCAAATCTCAAGTAATTGAAATCAGTGTATTGAAGAGATATCTGCACTCCCAGGTTCACTGCAGCATTATTCACAATAGCTAAGATAAGGAATCAACCTAGGTGTCCAACAGTGTTTGAATGAAGAAAGAAAATGTGACACGTATACACAATATAATACATACAGACTTTGAAAGGAAGAAAATTCTGTCATTTGTGACAACATGAATGTTTGGAAGACATTGTTATAAGTATATTTAGCCAGTCAAAGAAAGACAAAAACTGCATAATCTTGTTTATATGTGAAATTTTAATAAAGTCCAACCCACAGAAGCAAAGTAAAACTGTGGTTTCTGGGCACTGGGTGTAGAAAAAATGGGGAGATGTTGGTCCAACTTCAAACTTTATGTTACAATATGACTAAGTTCTGGGGATCTCACTTACAGCATGAGTGTGATGGATAGGTTAATTAATTTGATTGCAGTTATTGTTACACAATGTATACATATATCAAATCATTGCATTATACATCTTGAATAGATACAATATTTATTTGCCAATTAAATATTTTAAAATAGAAAAAACATCTTGTACTTAAAAAGTTCACCCTGTGTTTAAAAAAAGAAGAGAATAAAGAAAACCTGCAGTTCAAAGTATCATTTGCTTTATTCAAGGCAAAACATGCTGCAGAATTGTAGAAGAAGGATGGATGATTGTCTGCTATAGTGGTGGGTAAAAATTTCATGCAAGAAGTTAGTGATTATCCACAGTTAACAGAAAAGGCATTCCAGGTTGGAATAAGAAGATGTACAGAGGCAAAGAGAAAGGAACAGTGCAGTTGGTTGGAACGAAGTTTCACTTAGGAGAGAACAAAGTGTGGTATCTGTCATCTTCTTTTCATGTAACGTCTTTGTATGATTTTGGCATCAGAGGAATTCTGGCTCAGAGTCATTTAAGAAATATTCCTTTTCTAATGTTGGTGGTTAGCGTTACAAACTTCCCTCTATGAGCCACTTTACTGGGTTTCCGCTCATTTTTGATTCATTGCGTTTTCATCTTCTATCCATTAAAAATAATTTCTCTAGTTATTTTTGTTCCTTTTTTCACTCATAGATTATTTAGAATTATATTATTTATTTTCAAACTATTTAGGAATTTTCCAGAGAGCTTTCTATTTATCATTGGTTTCTCATTTAGTTACATTGAGTTAGAGAACATACTTTCCATGGCTTGAATTCTTTTAAATTTATTGAGGCTTTTTATTGAGATAAAATATAATCTATTTTGGCTACTATTCTAACTGCATTTAAAAACAATGTGTTTTCTGCTATTATTGAAGTGTTCTATAAACGATAATGTTTGTTTTGATAGTGTTGTCTAAGTCTTTTATGTCAATACTGATATTTTATTGACTTGTGCTATTAATTTTTAGGGAACAATGTTGAAATCTCCAACTCTAGTTGTGGATTTATTTATTTCTCCTTACATTTCTGTCAGTATTTGCTTCATATATTTGGAAGCTCCGCTATTAAGTGCATAAATGCTTAGGATTGTTGTGTCTTCTTGATAAATTGGTTTCTCTATTAATATGGAATTACCATCATTATCCCTGTTTGTTTTCTTTGTTGTAGCATTTAATTAGTCCGATGTTAAGACAGCTGTGCCAGCTCTCCTTTGGTTAGTTTTAGCAAGGCTTATCTTTTCCCAGCCTTTTAACTTTAACTTATTTGTCCCTTAATATTTAAAGTAAGTTTCTTTTAGGAGGTATGTTTTTGATCTTGCTTTATTCATACTAATATAAATTTTACATTTTAATTGGGGGTATATAGAACATTTTCATTTAGAGTGATTATTGATATGATTGCACATAAATCTAAAGTCTTTCTGTTGTTTCCTTTTGTCCCACTAGTTATTTTTTCACTTTTGCTTCCTTTTCTCATTTTTTGAATAAGTTTTTGGTTGAAAGTTGCTCTTTGGGAGTGTTAAATTTTTTAACACTTCTGGCTTGCTGGGTGGTGGAAAAGTAGTGGGAAGATGATCCTCAGATAAAGAAATGTAGCTGGCATCAAGAAAATTGGCTAGCGTGCACTGAAATGATAAGGTTGAGGCACAGGGTTTGCCACATTAACTGTTGTAAGAAAGGGAAGCAGTATGTAGACTACACTTTCAGGAGTGCCTGAAATGTAACTAGTATCTGACTTTCCTTTTCTTTTGTCTATTACGTGTTTTACTTTAGATTCCTGGGGGTACATGTGCAGGTTTGTTAAAAGGTGTATTGCATGACCCTGAGGTTTGGAAGATGATTGAACCTGTCAGACAGTGATATAATTTGGGTGTCTGTCTCCTCCAAATCTGATGGTGAATATGATTCCCCATGTTGGAGGTGGGGCCTTGCAGAAGATACTGCAGGGTTGATCCATCATGAATGGCTGGGTTCTGTCCTCATGATAGTTAAAGAGTGAATTTTCACAATATCTATTGTTTAAAAGTGTGTGACTCTTCCCCCACATCTCCTACTCCTACTTATGCTATGTGACATTGACTACTTTCCCTTTACCTTCTGCCGTGATTGTGAGCTCCTGAGTCCTCACTACAATCAGATGCTGGTGCCATGCTTCTTGTACAGCCTGCAGAACTGTGACACAATTAAACCTCTTTTTTTGTTTATAACTTGCCTAGCCTCGGGTATTTATAGTGGTGCAAAAATGGACTAACATAACCAAGAAGTGAAGACAGTACCCAATAGGTAATTTTTCAGCCCTTGACCCCCTCCCTTCCTCCTCCTTCTTGTATTTTCCAGTGTCTATTTTTCCCGTCTTCATGTCAGTGTGTACCCAATGTTTAGGTCGCACTTACAAGTGAGAACATAACAGTATTTGTTTTTCTATTATTTTCTTTAGGAAAATGGCCTCCTGCTGCATCCGTCTTACTGCAAAGAACATAATTTTATTCTTATTTATGGATGGATAATATTTAATGGTGCATATATGTCATATTTTCTTTATCCAATCCACCATTGATGGGCACCTAGGTTGATGCCATATTTTTGCACTTGTGAATAGTGCTGTGATGAACATACAGGTTGAGGTGTCTGTTTGGTAGAAAGATTTGTATTCCTTCAGGTGTACACCTACTAATGGGATAGCTGGCTCAACGCAGTCCTTTGAGAAATCGCCAAACTGCTCTCCACTGTGCAGGAGCTAATTTACATTCCCACCAATAGCACATAAGCATTTTCTTTTCTCTACAGCTTGGCCAACATTTTTTTGTTTGTTTGTTTTTTTGACTTTTTAACAAAAGCTATTCTGACTGGTGTGAGATGGTGTCTCATGTAGTTTTGATTTGCATTTCCTTGATGATTAATGATGATAAGCACTTTTTTCATATGTATGTTGGCTGCATGGTTTTCTTCTTATGAGAAGTGTCTGTTCATGTTCTTTGCCCACTTTGTAATGAGATTTATTTTTTGCTTGCTGATTTTTAAAAGTTGCTTATACATTCTGGACATTAGGCCTTTGTCAGATGCATAGTTTATAAATATTTTCTCCCATTCTGTAGGTTGCCTGTTTATTCTGTTGATAGTTTCTTTTGCTGTGCAGAAGCTGTTTAGTTTAGTTAGGTCCCACTTGCCAATTATTGTTTTTGTTGCAATTGCTTTTGGGGACTTAGTCAAACGTTCTTTGCCAAGGTTCATGTCAAGAAGAGTACTTTCTAGGTTTTCTTCTAAGATTTTAATAGTTTGAGGTTTTAAACTGATGTCTTTAATCCATCTTATATTAATTTTTGTATGTCGTTAAAGATGGGGGCCCTGTTTCATTCTTTTGTAAATGGCTAGCCAGTTATCCCATCACCATTTGTTAAACAGAGAGTTCTTTCTCTATTGCTTATTTTTTTTTTTTACTTTGTTGAAGATCAGATGGGTGTAGCTGTGCAGCTTTATTGCTAGCTTCTCTATTCTGTTCCATTGGTCTATGTGTCTATTTTTGTATGAGTACTATGCTATTTTGGTTACTGTAGCTTTGGGGTATAATATGAAGTCAGGTAATGTCATTCCCCTAGCTTTGTTCTTTTTGCTTAGGACTGCTTTGGCTATTTGGTTTGTTTTATGATTCCATATGAACTGTTAATTTTTTTTCAAGTTCTATGAAAAATGTCATTGGTAGTTAGTAGAAATAGCATTGAATCTGTAAATTGCTTTGGACAATATGATAATTTTAATAATATTGATTTTTCCAATCCATGAGCATGGAATTTTTTCCATTTGTTTGCGTCATCTCTGATTTCTTTGTGCAGTGGTTTTTATTTCTTCTTGTAGACGTCTTTCATCTTTTGGTTAGATCTATTCCTAAGCATGTTATTCTTTTTGTATATATTGTTTAAAATGTATTATGCTCTTGATTCGGTTCTTAGTTTGAACATTATTAGTGTATAGAAATGCTACTGATTTTTGTACATTGATTTTGTATACTGAAAGTTTACTAAAGTGGTTTATCAGTTTAAGGAGCCTCTTGGCAGAGTCTTCAGGGTTTTCTAGGGATTCAATCATATCACCCATGAAAAGAGATAGTTTGATTTCCTCTTTTCCTATTTGAATGCCTTTTATTTATTTCTCTTGCCTCATTGCTTTGGCTAGGACTTATAGTATGATGTTGCATAGGATGGTAAGAGTGGGCATCCTTGTTCTGTTCCAGTTCTCAAGGGAATGCTTCCAATTTTTGTCCATTCTGTGTGTTGTGGACTATGGGTTTATCATAAGTGGCTCTTAAGAGACGTTCCTTTGATGCCTAGTCTCTTGAGAGTTCTTATCATGAAGAGTTTTGATTTTATGGAAAGTTTTTCTGCATCTATTGAGATGATCATATAGTTTATTTTTAATTCTGTTTATATGGTGAATCACACTAATTCATTTGCATATGTTTAACCAAACTTGCATCACAGAAATAAAGTCTACTTGGTCATGGCGAATTAACTTTTTAATGCATTGGTGGATTTGATTTGCTGATGTTTTGTTGAGGACTTTTTTTGCCTATGTTCATCATGAATATAAGCCTGTAGTACTCTTTCTTTATTGTGTCTCTGCCAGATTTTGGTATTGGGTGATGTTGGCTTCATAGAATAACTTAGAGAAGAATCCCTCTTTCTTAGTTTTTTGCAGTAGTTTCAGTAGGATTGATATCAGCTCTTCTTTGTATGTCAGGTAGAAATTGGCTGTGAATCCATCTCATCCAGGGCTTTTATTTGTTGCTAGTTTTTTTTTTTAATTATTTTTGATTCATTTTGGAACTTGTTATTGGTCTGTTCAGGGATTCAATTACTACTTGGTTTAAGCTTGGGAATTTGTGTATTTCTAGAAATTCTTTAATTTCCTCTAGATTTTCTAATTTGTGTACATAGAGGTGCTCATAGTAGTCTCTGAGGAGTTTTGTATTTCTGTGGGACTTGTTTTAATGTCATCTTTGTCGTTCCTGATTGTGCTTTTTTGGATTTTCCTTTTTTTCCCTTTGTTAATCTAGCTAGTAGTTTATTAGTGTTTTTTATTCTTTCAAAAAGCAAACTTTTGGTTTCATTGATCTTTTCTGTGGATTTTTACATCTCAATTTTGTAGATTTCTGTTTTGACTTTAGTTATTTGTTTTCTTCTGCTATCTTTGGGGTTTGATTTTTCTTGTTTTTCTAGTTCCTACAGGTATGATGGTAAATTATTAATTTGATATCTTTCTAACTTCTTGATGTAGGCATTTAGCACTATAAACTTTCCTCTTAACACTGCTTTAACTGCATCCCAGAGATTTTGGTATGTTGTGTCTCTGTTTTCATTAATTTCAAAGAATTTTTTTTTAATTTCTGCATCAATTTTTTTGTTTATCCCAAAGTCATTGAGGAGTAAGTTGTTTAATTTACATGAAATCGTGTGGTGTTGAGAAATCTTCTTGGTATTGATTTTATGTTTTTATTGCACTGTGGTCCAAGAGTATGACTGATGTGATTTTGAATCTTTTGGAATTTATTGAGACTTGCTTTAGGGCTGAGCATGTGGTTAATCTTACAGTATGTTCCATGTGAAGTTGAAAAGAATGTATATTCTGTGGTTGTTAGGTGTTGTATTGTGTGGTTTTCTATTAGGTCCAATGATTCAAGAGTGTAATTTAAGTCCAGGGTTTCTTTGTTAGGTTTCTGCCTCATGCATCTGTCTAACACTGTTAGTGAGGTGTTAAAGATCTCATTTTTATTTTGTAGCTAAGTTCTTCAAATGTCTACAAGTACTTATTTTATGAATCTGAGTGCTCCAATGTTGGATGTGTATATATTTATGATAGTTAAGTCTTCTTGCTGAATTTAACCCTTTATCATTATGTAATGTCTTTCTTTGTCCTTTGTTGTGGGAAGTCAGGGACCCTGAATGGAGGAACCAGCTGAAGCTGTGGCAGAATAACATAAATTGTGAAGATTTCATGGACATTTGTTTGTTCCCCAAATTAATACTTTTATAATTTCTTACGCCTGTCTTTACTGCAATCTCTGAACATAAATTGTGAAGATTTCATGGACATTTATCACTTCCCAAATCAATACTCTTATAATTTCCTATGCCTGTCTTTACTTTAATCTCTTAATTCCATCATCTTTGTAAGCTGAGGATGTATGTCACCTCAGGACCCTGTGATGATTGCATTATCTGTACAAATTGTTTGTAAAACATGTGTGTTTAAAAGATATGAAATCTTTAGGATATGGGCATCCTAAAAAAGAACAGGATAACAGCGATTTTCAGGGAACAAGGGAGATAACCATAAGGTCTGACTGCCTGCGGGGCCTGGCAGAACAGAGTCATATTTCTCTTCTTGCAGAAAGCAAATAGGAGAAATATCACTGAATTTTCTTCCTAGCAAGGAAAAACCCTGGGAAAGGAATGCATTCCCAGGGGTAGGTCTATTGATGGCCGCTCTGGGAGTGTCTGTCTTATGTGGTTGAAGATAAGGGATGAAATATGCCCTGGTCTCCTGCAGTGCCCTCAGGCATACGAGGATTGGGAAATTCCAGCCTGGTAAATTCTAGTCAGACCGGTTGTCTGCTCTCAAACCCTGTTTCCTGTTAAGATGTTTATCAAGACAATATGTGCCCAGTGGGACATGAAACCTCATCAGAAATTCTAATTTCGCCCTGGCCTTATGATCTTGCTCTGCCCTTCTGCAATAAAAATTGCCCTTTGAAGCATGTGATCTTTGTGACTTACTCCCTGTTTGTACTCCCCTCCCCTTTTGAAATCCCTAATAAAAACTTGCTGGTTTCGCAGCTCAAGGGGCATCACAGAAACTGCCAATATGTGATGTCACCCCTGGAGGTCCAGCTGTAAAATTTCTCTCTTGTACTCTTTCTCTTTATTTCTCAGGCTGGCCAACACTTAGGGAAAATAGAAAAGAACCTATGTTGAAATATTGGGGGCTGGTTCCCCTGATAGTCCTTTTACACTATTGTTGATTTAAAGACTCCTTTAAGTGATTTAAGAAGAGTAATCTCTGCTCTTTTTTGTTTTCTATTTGCATAAGAGATCATTTTCCATCCCTTTACTTTGAACCTGTTGGTGTCATTACGTGTGAGATGGGTCTCTTGAAAACTGTTCATGGTTAGGTTTTGTTTTTTCTAACTTGTCACTCTGCCAAGCAGTGCATTTCAATCATTTACATTCAAGTTTAATATTGATATGTGAGATTTTAATCATGTCATTGTGTTGTTAGCTGCTTGCTTTGTAAACTCAATTGTGTACCTGCTATAAATACATTGGGTGTGTTTTTGTGGTAGCAGATATTGTTTTCCTGTTTCTATATTTAGAACTCCCCTAAGGACCTCTTGTAAGGCTAGTCTAGTGGTAACAAATTTCTTTAGTGTTTGCTTGTCTGGAAGAATTTTATTACTCTTTTGCTTATGAAGCTTAGTTTGGTGAAATATGAAATTCTTGGTTGGAATTTCTTTTCTTTAAGGATGCTAAAAACAGACCCCCAATTTCTTCTGGCTTATAAGATTTCTACTGAAAAGTCTGCTGTTAGCCTAATGGGGCTTTTTTTTTTTGTAAGTGACCTGAACCCCCCTTTTTTTTTCTTTTTTTTTTAGCTGCCTTTGAGATTTTTTGTCTTTCATGTTAACTTTGGAGAACACGATGACTATGTGTGTTGGGGATGGTCATTTTTATAGCATCTTGCAGTGGCTCTCTTCTGAGTTTCTTGAATTTGCATGCCAACCACTATAGCACTTGGGAAATTTTGTGAGGCCTGTATCTTCCCATATGTTTTCCAAGTTGCTTACTCTTTGTCCTTATTTCTCAAGAATGCCAGTGAGTCCTATATTTGGTCTCATTACATAATCCCATATTTATCAGAGTTTTTTTTAAGTTATTATTTTATTCATCTTTTATTTGTCTGACCATGTTAGTTTGAACGAATGGTTTTTGAGCTCTGAGATTCTTTCCTCAGCTTGGTCTATTCCATTGTTAATACTTCCAACTGTACTATGAAATTCTTATAGTGAGTTTTTCAATTTTGGGAGTTCTGTTTGGGTCTTTCTTAAAATGACTATGCCATCTTTAACTCTCAAAGCATGATATAGTTTGAACATTTGTCCTGCCCAAATCTCACGTTAGATTATAAGCCCTAATTTGGAGATGGGGCCTGGTGGGAGGTGATTAGATTATGGAGGCAGATACCTCATGGTTTTGTTCTTTTTCAATAATAGTGAGTGAGTATTCATGAGACCTGATCATTTAAAAGTGTATGGCACCTCCCTACCCCCCAACTCTCTCTCTCTCTCTGTCTTGCTCCTGACTTCTCCATGTGAAATGACTGCTCCTGCTTCACTTTCCGTCATTAATAAAATCTCCCTGAGGCTTCCCCAGAAGCAGATGTATGGCCTGCAGAACCATGAAACCATGAACCATTTAAACGTCTTTTCTTGCAAATTATCCATTCTCAAGTATTTCTTTGCAGCGATTAAAGAATGACCTAATACAGAAAGTTGGTACTGAAAAGTAGGGCATTGTGATAACATCTGAAAATGTGGAAGTGACTTTCGAAGTGGGAAGAGCTCAGAGGAAGATAGGAAGTTGAAGGAAAGTTTGGAACTTCCTAGAGACTCATAAAATGGTTGTGATCAAAATGCTGATAGTAATATGGGCAATGAAGTCCAGGCTGATGAGGTCTCAGATAGAAATGAGGAACTTATTGGGAACTGGAGCAAAGATCACACATGCTATGCCTTAGCAAAGAGCTTGGCTGCATTCTTTGTAGGGTTGTGTAGAAGTTTGGACTTGAGAGTGATGCAGATGAAAACAATTTCTAGAAGTGTTCAAGAAATGATATGGCTTCTTCTAACAGCCTATGCTCAGATGCAGGAGCAAAAAACTAAAATGGAACTTATAATTAAAAGGGAAGCAGAACATAAATGTTTGGAAAATTTGCAGCCTGGTCATGTAGCAGAGAAAGAAAAAGCTTTTGGGAAGAGGAATCCAGGCAGGCTGTGGAGCAACCAGTTGCTAGAGATATTTGCATAACTAAAAGGGAGCCAAGTGCTACTATAAAAGATAACAGGGAAAGGCTGGATAGGCATCTCAGAAACTTTGGCAATAGTCCCTTCCATCACAGCCCAGAGACTAAGGAGGAAAGAATGTTTTAATGGGAATGGTCAAGGGCCCTACTGCCCTGCAAAGCCTCAGGACACTGTTCTCTGCATTCTGGCTACTGCAACTCCAGCTCTAGCCAGAGCTCAAAGGGACCCAGGTACAGCTTGGGTTGCCACTTTGGGGAATGCAAGCCATAAGCCTTGGTGGCTTCCATGTGGTGTTAAACTTTATGGTGCACATAATGTAAGAGTAAAGAACAGTTGGTAGTCTCCACCTAGATTTCAGAGGATTTATGAGGAAGCCTGGGTGCCCAGGCAGAAGCCTTCAACAGGGATGGCGCCCTCACAGGAAACATCTACTAGGGCAGTGCCAAGAGGAAATGTGGGGTTGGAGCCCCACAAAAAGTCCCCAATGGGGCACTGCCTAATGGAGCTCTGAGAAGTGAGCCACAGTCCTCTAGACCCTTGAATGGTAGCTCCACCAGGAGTTTGCACACTGCATCTGAAAAAGCCACAGGCGTTCAACTCCAACCCCTGAAAGCAACTGTGGGGACTGAACCTTACAAAGCAACAGGGGTAGGTAGAGTTGCCCAAGACCTGGGAGCTCACGCCTTGCAGCAGTGTGCCCTGGATGTTGGACATGCTTCTTTTGTATTTCAGATACAAAACCAGAGCAGAGCTCTGTATCTTTTGTATTTCAGATACAACCAGAGCAGAGCTCTGTGTTGGAGGAGATTTGCAGGGTGAGAATCCAGCCAGCAAACTACCTCATCCCAGCTTGTGCTTACTCCTCAATGCATCATTTTCCACTGATGTAAAAGTGGTCTCTCTTTGGCAAGGAGAATCCTAAAGGGGCACACACACACACACACACACACACAAACACACGTGCATACACACACACATACAGAGTTTTCTTGGGAATCCTCTCTTTAAGATACAATAAGGAGATACTACTTTGTCCCAATGCAACTGATACCAGTTTAATTTTGTCCCTTCAGGTGTAAGCTCTTGAGGTTTAAGTTCTTTGGGGACCTGATTCTAAATTACTGAAAACTCCTTAAAAATGTCACTTATTTTGTGCAGTATGTGAATGAATGTGTGGGTCAAAAAGTATCTCTTTAACCTAGGCTCATCAATATGAGGGATTTGTCTTCCTCTTCAGGTACCTGGAAATTAATACTTCTTGAAAACGGTTACCACCATGGAGGGAGCTGCATCTTCCATTCTTACTAATAGAAAATGATCGTTTGCTTTGAAGCAGTTAACGGAGATACATAAAAAAGTGAGTAAACTGCATTTGGAAAACATAAACTTTTTGGTAGAGGCAACTTTTGTAGAAGAACCTCAGGATTAGTTTGAACTTTGGGAACATGACCTTCCACCTCAGTTTCTCTAAAGAGAGCAAACATTGGCATTTTGTTCACATCTTGGTGAAATGAAACAACTGAATTTCCTGTTTTTTAAAAATAATATGGAGATATTGTTAGTAACAATGTTTTATATTCCTAAAAGTTGCTAAGAGAGATTTTAAGTGTTCTCCCAACAAAAAATGATAAATATGTGAGGCAATGCATATGTTAATTAGCCTGATTTAGCCATTTTACAATGAATACAAATTTCAAAACATCATGTTGTACCTAAGAAATAGAAACAATTTTATTTGCAAATTAAAAATAAAATAATTACATAAAATAAAATAATTCTGTAAAATGAAAAAAGAGAAAGGCACTGTAATGTTCATGAAGAATTCTAAGACCATGGAATGTTAGATATTGAAAAGCATACAGAACATCCTCTTTATTTTACAGAAAACTCAAAATGAATTACAATCAAGTAAATAAATAAGTAGTATTTGGACTAAAACTATAATCAGTCTGTACACCTCTTATCCCCACACACCAATCTTGACATATTTGAATATGGATAAACAGAAACACTTCTGCAATGGATAATACTCTTAATGTAAGCCTAAAATTGTCCTTGTGACTGCTGAAAATACATTCCACAATAGCATGAAACAAACAATCATGATAATGATAAAATTATCATAAATCAGATAGATACAGTGACTATTAACTGTTTGAGAGTATATACTAAGTTTCACACATTAATTAGTATTTAATTCAAGAATGGTATGCTGTTTGTATTTTATCCACACAGGATATTAATTGAAGTGATGGTGTTGTATAAACCAGGTTCTTTTTTTTCATAAATCATCCTACAAGATTGTCTTCTTCTAGAAATTTTAAGGGGTTTTATTTGTTATTTCATGACAAATGTGTCACAAACATAGTATTTTCTTGAAGGTTTTCCCTGTATAAAGTATTAAGCATTTGACATTTCACATATTATTACTATAATTGATATTGCCTCACAGACTCCAGGATAAGTGCCTTAAAATATTTACATAAAATATAGGAAAGCATGTAAAATAATTATGTGTTACTTTAGCTCAACAGATCTTAATTTTCTATGTAATTTCCATCACAAGTTTCTGTACAACATTTGCCAGATCACCTGATCTCAAAGGCAGGGAAGGTCTCTCAATTCCTCCCATGGCATCATCTTCCTTTATTGGAATTACAAGGTTGAGAGAAATTTCTAGCCCCTGCCCTTCCTTCTCAATCTATCATCTTATATTCTTGATTCCTGATGCCTCTTTTGACCTCAGATCTGTCATAGATCTGAGGGCAGGTCTTTATAAACATGAACAACTAAAATTTATTTTTACTAATTTTCAATAAGCAACCTTTTTGTTAAGTGTATTATCATTTCCACGTCCTTATATAAGGGAGAATAGGGAAAACAGTGATAAATACACTTATGAATTATGCCTTAATAACATTAGGATGTTACTAATCATTTAAAAAGAATAAGAACTCCCCTGCTTGTATTTTCCCTGATATCTAATGTTAGGATCTGAACTTCTCATTGGTTTTGTTTTGTTTTGTTTTCTTTTTTTTTTTTTTTAGGGTGAATGCTCTGATTGCAGATTTTATTATTTTTTTTTTTAGATTTTTTCTAAGTATTTTTTAAAAATTTTATTATTATTATACTTTAAGTTTTAGGGTACATGTGCACAACGTGCAGGTTTGTTACATATGTATACATGTGCCATGTTGGTGTGCTGCACCCATTAACTCGTCATTTAGCATTAGGTATATCTCCTAATGCTATCCCTCCCCACTCCCCCCACCCCACAACAGTCCCCGGTGTGTGATGTTCCCCTTCCTGTGTCCATGTGTTCTCATTGTTCAGTTCCCATCTATGAGTGAGACAATGCGGTGTTTGGCTTTTTGTCCTTGCGATAGTTTGCTGAGAATGATGGTTTCCAGCTTCATCCATGTCCCTACAAAGGACATGAACTCATCATTTTTTATGGCTGCATAGTATTCCATGGTGTATATGTGCCACGTTTTCTTAATCCAGTCTATCATTGTTGGACATTTGGGTTGGTTCCAAGTCTTTGCTATTGTGAACAGTGCCACAATAAACATACGTGTGCATGTGTCTTTATAGCAGCATGATTTATAATCCTTTGGGTATATACCCAGTAATGGGATGGCTGGGTCAAATGGTATTTCTAGTTCCAGATCCCTGAGGAATCACCACACTGACTTCCACAATGGTTGAACTAGATTACAGTTCCACCAACAGTGTAAAAGTGTTCCTATTTCTCCACATCCTCTCCAGCACCTGTTGTTTCCTGACTTTTTAATGATTGCCATTCTAACTGGTGTGAGATGGTATCTCATTGTGGTTTTGATTTGCATTTCTTTGATGGCCAGTGATGATGAGCATTTTTTCATGTGTTTTTTGGCTGCATAAATGTCTTCTTTTGAGAAGTGTCTGTTCATATCCTTCACTTTACATCTTTAGGGTATTCCTAAGTGGGTTTATTATCTCATTATATGGTGACATGGAATATGGAGAGTAAAATAATTCTCATTTCAAATATAATTTTATAATCTGAGGGCATTTTAGGTCATATAATTGGATGACTATTTTCTATTTTTTAGAGACAGGATCTCACTCTGTTACACAAGCTGGAGTGCAGTGGTGGAATCACAGCTCACAGCAACCTTGAACACATGGGCTCAAGTGATCCTCCTTCCTCAGCCTCCTGAGTAGCTGGGACTACAGATGTGAGCCACAATTGGATGGCTCTTGGTGGGAGAGTGTATAGGATCCAAAGAGGTAAAGAGTAAATTGTTCACATTTACACAGGATCTTTGCACAACTGCTCACATCTAGTATCTAGGAGTATCTCCCAGACCAACACTATTTCACAATTGTCTCTTATAACCCTGTTTAAAATAATCTATCATTAGCTTCAAATACTATTTGTAGCTATTAATCATTGATTTCCTTTGTAATAAAAATAATTCCTCTTTCTTATGACAGATTACAATGAACCAATGGAACCAATGGAAGATAAGAACCAGACAGTAGTGACTGAATTTCTCTTATTGGGCCTCACAGATCATCCCTATCAGAAGATTGTTCTCTTCTTCATGTTTCTCTTTGTTTATCTTATCACCCTGGGAGGTAACTTGGGGATGATCACTCTCATATGGATTGATCCCAGACTCCACACTCCTATGTACTTTTTTCTTAGGCACTTGTCCTTTGTAGATATTTGTTCCTCTTCTTCTGTTGTGCCTAAGATGCTGTGTAATATCTTTGCAGAGAAAAAAGACATCACTTTTCTGGGTTGTGCTGCACAGATGTGGTTCTTTGGTCTCTTTGAGGCAGCTGAGTGTTTTCTCTGGCTGCCATGGCATATGACCGGTATGTGGCCATCTGCAAGCCCTTGTTGTATACGCTCATTATGTCTCAGCAGGTCTGTATGCAGCTGGTGGTAGGGCCTTATGCCATGGCTCTTATAAGCACCATGACTCATACAATTTTCACTTTTTGCTTACCCTTTTGTGGTTCAAATATTATCAATCACTTTTTCTGTGATATTTTTCCACTGCTTTCCCTAGCATGTGCAGACACCTGGGTGAATAAATTTGTGCTGTTTGTCTTGGCTGGAGCTATAGGAGTACTCAGTGGTCTGATCATCATGGTCTCCTATATTTGCATCCTGATGACCATCTTGAAGATCCAGACTGCTGATGGGAAGCAAAAAGCTTTCTTCACCTGTTTTTCTCACCTTGCGGCTGTCTCCATCCTGTATGGGACTCTTTTCTTGATTTATGTTCGGCCAAGTTCAAGTTCCTCCCTGGGTATCTATAAAGTGATTTCTCTATTTTATACTGTGGTAATCCCCATGGTTAACCCCCTTATTTACAGCTTGAGGAATAAGGAGGTGAAAGATGCATTCAGAAGAAAAATTGAGAGGAAAAAATTTATTATAGGTAGGTAAAAGAGAATTCTATTTGTGTTGTAGCATAGATGTTGGTGCAAAATATGTAATAAAAACAAAACTGGACTGAGAACCAGAAGCTGCACGTGAGTACTGATTCTGACAGGTCATAGATTATTTAAAAATGGATAAGCTTTAAAATATTTTTCTGCCTCAGTCTTATTTTCTGTGACATAATGAGAATCTCAAAATAAATATAAAGATGGACTGAGAATATAAATATAAAAATATACAAGAAGAAAATGTAAGTGAACATTTGAAAAATCTTGAGTGTGTGAATACTTTTGAACCCAGATATAAAAATGAAAAGTTATAAAGAAAAGATCAAAGCACTACATACAATGTTAAAAGACAAATAATAAAATGAGAGAAAATAGTTGTGTACCTGTGCTAAGCAATCAATATCCCTAATATCCAAAGAACATGCCCAAATTCACAGTCCATCAAAGAGAAAAACAAAGATAAATGGGCCAACTCATGAATAGGCAATTCATAAAAATGAGAATGCAAATTGCTAAAAATATATATTTAGGATGGTGCAAAAGTAATTGTGGTTTTGAACTGTGAATTTTGAATTATTATAACTAGGCCCAAACACAACCTCATTAATCAAAATAGGAAACATTGCAATTAACATATTTTTGCCAACGAGAAATAAGTTTGTTTATTCCTGTAGCATAAAAATCTGTGCTTTGGCTGGGCATGGTGGCTCACACCTGTAATCCCAGCACTTTGTGAGTCCGAGGCAAGCAGATCACGAGGTCAGGAGATTGAGACCATCCTGGATATCATGGTGAAATCCTGTGTCTATTAGAAATACAAAAAATTAGCCAGGTGTGGTGGGACGTGCCTGTAGTCCCAGCTACTTGGGAGGCTGAGGCAGGAGAATCACTTGAACCTGGGAGGTGGAGGTTGCAGTGATCTGAGATCACACCGCTGCATTCCAGCCTGGGCAACAGAGCAAGACTTCATCTCGGAAAAAAAAAAATCTGCTTTGAGATTCAATAAACTCTTGGAAAGCATTTTCTGCAACCTGCTTGTTGTGGAAGTGTTTTTCCTGCGAAAAGTTGTCAAGATGTTCGAAGAAGTGGTAGTTGATTGGTGAGAGCTCAGGTGAATATAGGGGATGAGGCAAAACTTTGTAGCCCAATTCATTCAAGTTTTGAAGCATTGGTTGTACAACATGTGTTTGGCATTGTTGTGGAGAAGAATTGGGTCCTTTTTGTTGACCAGTGCCAGCTGCAGGCATTGCAGTTTTCACTGCATCTCATTGATTTGCTGAGCATATTTCTCAGCATGTAGTGGTTTCACCAGGATTCAGAAAGCTGTAGTGGATCTGACTGGTGGCAGACCACATAACAGCAACCATTGTAAGAATTAAATAAAGAGGAGAGAAACACAAAGGGTGGCTTGACAGTTAATGGTTTATTTCGGAAAACAAACATGGGAGGGACTTCAGGCTGAGTTAGGTCAAAAGCTGCACTCTCTTACAGACTAAGAGTTTTTAAGGATTCAGTGTGGGAGAGTTTATTAGAGGCTTGGACTGCTTCTGTGTCTCTTTGTTGTGCTTATCTGGGAGGGAAAGTTGTGTGTCAGTTCCCATACACCTTTCTGCAGCTGCAAGCACCTCGCCCGAGTCTGCCTTTAGCTTCCCTATCTTAGTGGACCTGAAAGGAAAGGAATGTGCTTATTACTGGGGCCCCATTGTATGAGCGTGAAGTTTGGCAGTTACCCAAGAGACTTCCTCCCCACCCTCCTCTGCACCTGAGCTGTGTTATCTGTGTTTTACTGTCTGCTCTTTTCTGGCTGCTTGTAGTTAGAAGAGAAAGTGATTCCTTGGAATCTGTGAAGCTAGAAAGGGAGCTGGAACTTAAAGTAGCAGTGTTTGTCTGAGATAATGGTGCTCCTGCTCTGTCAACCATGACCTTTTTTTGGTGCAAGTTTGGTTTTGGGAAGCACTTTAGAGCTTCTTCTCAGTCCAACCACTGAGCTGGTCATTGCCGATTGACATATAAAATCCACTTTTTGTTGCACCTCACAATCCGATTGAGAAATGGTTTGTTATTGTGTAGAGCAAGAGAAGACAACACTTCAAAAAGACATTTTTAAAAAATTTTTGCTCAGCTCATGAGGCACCCATGTATTGAGCTTGTTTACCTTTCCAATCTGCTTCAAATGCTCAATGACTGTAGAATGGTTGACATCAAGCTTTTTGGCAACTTCTTGTGTAGTTGTAAGATCAGCATTGATGATTGCTCTCATTTGGTAATTGCCAACTTCTGATTGCCGGCCATTATGCTCCTTATCTTCAAGGCTCTTGTCTCCTTTGCAAAACTTCTTGAACCACTGCTGCACTGTACATCTGTTAGCAGTTCCTGGGCCAAATGCATTGCTGGTGTTGAGAGTTGTCTCTGCTGCTTTACAACCCATTTTGAACTCGAATAAGATAATCATTCAAATTTGCTTTTTGTCTAACATCATTTCCACAGTCTAAAATAAATATAAAATAAATGGCAAGTAATAAGTCATTAGCAAAAAAAACATAAAGTGAGACATGTCCATTAGAATGATGTATAATATAAACACATTTACTTAAGAATGCATTCAAATGTCAAACGGCAGATTCCCACTGAGTCTTGTAATAAGCTCCACACTGCTTCTTTTCCCACTACTGCAACCTTCAACATCATAACATCTGTTGTACATCACGTGGCTCAAGTGGCAGGGCTGCTTGGACTGCAACTGGGATCTGCTGCAGAGCCCTTTCCTGCAGCAGATTCCAGTTAACACTAGCAGCCTTTGTGTCACTTGGTATAGCGGCTGGAACAATATTCTTAGCTATGGAATGTGTTGCTTCCAAAACCCAGGGTCCTACCAAGACACTGCCTCTGTGATCTTCACTTCAAAGGAGTTATTCTAGTATTCCCCTAAGCACTGAACCTGCAAAAGCTTTCCCTAAGTGTCCAAATTCCCAAATCTTAATATGGTTTATCTCATACCCCCTGTAGCACATGTGCTTTACCAAGATCTCCAATATTCTAGTAACAACTTGTGTAACTTGCTCTGTCATTATGATGTTATCAATGTAATAAATCAGTATGATGTTTTGAGAAATGCTTAGGTGGACAATATCTTCATTCTATATTTCCTTGGGCAGGAAAACTAACATAGTCTTGAGACATAATTGAAAGTGAATACAGTATCGTTCATCTCACATGAATGTAAGTCATTTCTGATCCTCTTTTCTAACCGCAACAGAAAATAATTCATTCCCCAAATCACTGACTGTATCATATACTGGAGACCTTTTAAATGATTCTGTGTTTAGTATAACACTGCTATTGGGGCTACTACTTGGCTGAACTCGAGGCAGTCTATATTCATTCTCTAGAAAACATATGGGTCTTCAGGGTCCAGGCTGATGAATTAAATAGAGAGGGAAAAGAGACAACTGCTGCTACATTTTTTATGTCTTTAGTGGTGGCATTAATTTCCAATTCAAGTGTTCTGGAATCCTATCATCTCCAGTGACTCCAGGAAGCCTAGATCCATAGCAGCATCTCAAACGACTGAGCTTTTCACCAAGCTGGTGGCTCTCTAGTGCTTATCTTTATTGCTTTAGTGGAAAAAGTGTCCTTTGGGTCTTCTCAGGTATACATGCATCTGTAGCTTCTTTGGTCTTGTGTAATAAATCCTTTTTAAGCATCTCTACCTCTTTGAGCATTTGGGCCTTTTCTTCAACACTCTGCATGGCAATAATGGCATCCCTACCTCTTTTACTGCATGCTGTTATTTTTTCCAAAATTCAAAGAGCCATCCTAACAGTGCATTAGAATCAGCTTCTGGTGTCCTGCCTGCAAGCTAATTTCTGAGTCACTGAGGTTCTCCTATGTCAGAAAATTCTCCCCTACTCAGCTTTTTATTTCCCCAGTCCTAGAATTACCCTCAAGATATTAATATATGCTTTTATATGTTCTCCTTGTTCTTGTGGCACATTTTAGCCAATTCTTTGAACTCCTGGTGGGTAATCATTTTCCTCTTAAAGTAGAGCCAATTCTCCTTAGTCATCACACCTCATCATTCTAAGCCTTGACCCTGGTTGCTAAGTCTAAGAGCCATGAGGGGAAGAAAGACTACATCCTGAGAAAAGAAATTACTCTCTTGTGAATGCTCTGACTCATGTGAGGCCTCTTTATTCTCTCTAAGCAAAGGAAGGCTGCTGCCTTCTGGCAAAGGGAACAGGACTACTTCTGCAGGTTCAAGGTTTCAAGGGTACTGGAAAATCTCAAGCACATACACACCGATGTCTTAATCCCAATTCTCAGTGTTCAGCTTTTCCCCTGTCAGAGTTCTGTGGCTCTAAAGAGGCTTTGAATTTAGCTTTTTTATTATTACTTCTTGCAACCTGGTACAAGATGTGTAACATCTGTAATATACAAATCTGATTGAGTTCTCATGCAGTCTGGGTAGAGTTTTCATGCAGTCTGGTCTCTAATTGAAGATGAATGTTTTTTGAACATTGCCTTTCTGACTTTGACACCATGCCTGAGTTGAAAATTGTCCTATTTGAGTCTGTTTTCATCATTGAGCATATTAAAGACATTTAATGTAAATTAATTTCATAGTTTAATAATTATTGTTGCTCCCCATATTTCTCATGTTGCATAAGTCAACATACATCTCTCACTTGTACCCTATCCCAATTCACTGCAGGTGAGTCTTGGTAACTGAGATGCTAAGGCATGCCCATGGTTATTACCATTCTGTTCCATCAGCAATGGGTATTGTTGCCATCTTTCCAGTGAGTAATTTGATTCCAGAATTACATCCCAATAATCTGCACCTTAAGGGTCACTCTGGTACGAGGCATCTTAGTTTGAGTTTTCCAGGAAACAAACCTTGAGGAAAAGATTCAAGTGCAAGCATTGGTTGATAATAGTTTATTTGGGAAGCAACTAAAACATTGACAGGGAAGTTAGAAGTGAGATAATGAATGGAAAGAAATTAATACTCTCTGGAAGAGTTTCCTATATTTATTTTGGGAGTGATGGTATAAAGGTGTATATTCCATTTGATAATTTAGAAACATGGTAATCAGTTCTTATCTCTTCTAGTGGTTACCTTTTGGATTCTATGTAGTATACAGCTATTTATTGAACTATTTAAAGTGTTAATGAGAAGATCACTGCAGTGGTCAACTGAGCACTGCCAGTGCTGGAGATCTCTGGGTGCCAGTGCATAAAACACAAGAATCAGAGTATTCCCACCTGAGAGAGCCTGAGTCAAGAAATGTTTACATAAGCCAGTCTTTGGTTGACAGTTGCTCCTGGAAAGTGTTCATTTTCTGCCACTTCCAGCTTGTTAGGCAGGTAGAAAAGCGGCGGAAAGATAAATCCTCACACACACACACAAATCCACACACAAAAACCTTTGGTGTTAGCAGTTGAAGATGGAACTGAAGTGCACTGAAATGATAAGAGAGAGGCACAAACAGAGTTTGCTATACTGATCATTGCAACAAATGGAAATAGTTTTCATCTATACTTTATCTAGGGACAGTCATTTAGTCAGGAGCTGATTTTAACCTTCTTATTCTCTGCTAGTAATGGGAGGAACAGTTGCATCATGCACTGACCCTGCCCAGTGAGAAAGTGACCACATTTCATTTTAAATGACTGTGTGTGGGTCAGGAGAATATACAAATCTGATTCAAATAAACTGCTGGGAATATCAATATTCATATTTTGGCTTAAAGAAATGAGTTTCTTCTTGGTCAGTGGTTGGAGAATAGTATTATTACTTATGTTTTTGCAAAAGGGTGGCAGTAAAGAGAATTTACAAGTTTGGAGAAGACATTCATAAAATGGAAGTTTTGGTCCTAAGTTGTGAGTCTTTTCTGTGAATGGATATACTGTACATGCTATTTTATATCCTGATTTCTATCCATTGATATAAATACCTTTCATTTGATTAAAAACTTCATACAACTTATTACATTAAAGTATTTTTATATTTTAAAGTGTGTTTTTATAATACAGTATGATTGTACATGGTACAAAATTCAAATAGTACACTAGGAAATGTAAACAAGATAAGCTTCCTATCCATTCCAAACAGAATTTATGTTGTATTTTTTGAGAACTTTTTTGCATATAGAAACATGTATAAGTGTATGTGCATGTGTAGATTCCGAAGAGTTACACAAATGAGAGAGTGGACTTCCATTGAAGTTATAGCATGCTTGAATGATCTATTTCACCAATACTTGCTTATGGAAATAAAGGGAAGTGACAGCGGAAAGAAGAAGAGGAGTGGAGGAGGGGATTGAGGCCAAAGGAGACTCTGACCACATACAGGTATTGCACAGAATATTTTCAGATTGTTTGGTTTACACTGAGTGCTATAGCTCCATTTTTGTGTAGCAGAAAAAAATGAGATTTCAATAATTCTTTTCGCATTTTTTGTTTTTATTATGTATTATCCTTATCAATGGATGGAGACTAGCTAATTTGGCCATGAGAAGAAAATTGCTGAGACACAACTGCCTTCAGAGGAGATATATGCCTCTCTATTTATAAGTACCATTCCCCTGAGATCTCTGTAGTTAACTTTACTGGGTCTACTAGAGGATGAAGACGAGTGAAGGAAAAATATCCAACCACCCAAAAAAAACTTTATAATGACAACAGTGTGATTGCTTAGAAGTTCCTGTATAAAAAATGTATCAGTTGAAAGCAACTGGGACGTTTTATTCATTTCACAGTGTTCTTTTTTCTTTCTCATTTCTCTTTAAAAGGAAAATGACATACATTCAAAAAGATTCCAGTCTGAAGCACAACTATTGCCTGCATAACAAAAACATCTTAACTTTTTCTGCACATTATTATTCTCTTACAGGTTAAAAAGAAAGCAATTTTTATTGTATTAGAACTCTCTAATGGTAAAAAGTGCAAGAATTTAACATTTTTCTTTTATATTCCTATGATTCTTCAAAGTATTAACTTTGAATATATTTGAGTTATTTTCTAAAAAGTGCTCAATCTGAAATAAATTACATTGACTATTTGGCTTTGCACAATAGGGAGAAAATAACTGGTTTGTTTACTATATAGAGAGACTAAGAAAAAAGCTAATATTAATTGCTACCAATTCTATGATAGGCTTTAATATTTATGGAGGTATGATCTTTTAATTTTATGAGTAATATTCATTTGAAGTTGTAAAAGAAAGCATTAATCTTAATTATAGTTCATTTCATCTTAAAATGAAACCATACATTGTGAATCTTGTTTTCATCACATAATTATTAGAAACCAATATTTATTTTCTTTGAAGTACTATTATGAACCTTGATTATTTTGTATAGATACTTCCTTAAAAGTCCTGCTTAAAGTTAACATCTAAAACAGTTATGCCAATGAAGTCTTACTCCAGGTAATATCTGTATCTAAAAGATGAGTGCCCACCATTCTGGTAGCTTTGTTTTGGTGCTGTTCATCCCGTGATGCTGAGACAAATATATACAAAAGTAGAAGGAATTCAGGGATATGATTACCCAAAAGGGAAATTTTTCTGTCTCAATTTGAATTGTGTTGATAACAAGGTGTTCCCAAGATGTTAAGTACGCTCATATTTTGTATGCTACTAGATCTGGTAAACAACTTCAGCACTTTCAGGATACAAAATCAATGTGCAAAAATCAGTAGCATTTCTAAACACCAATGACATCTAAGTTGACAGCCAAACTAAGAATGCAGTGCCATTCACAATAGCCACAAAAAAATAAAATACCTAGAAATACAGCTAACCAGGGAGGTGAAAGATCTTTACAATAAGAATTGCAAAATGCTACTGAAAGTAATCAGAGACTACACAAATGAATGCTAAGGCATTCCATGCTCATGGATAGAAAGAATAATATTGTTAAAATCACCATACTGCCCAAAGCTATTTACAGATTCAGTGCAATTCCTATCAAGCTACAAGTGACATTTTTCACAGAATTAGAAAAAAATTCTAAAATGTATTTGGAACCAAAAAAGAGCTCAAATGGCCAAAGCAATTCTAAGTAAAAAGAACAAAGCTGGAGGCATCACATTACCTGACTCAAACTATACAACAAGGCAATAGTAACTAAAACAATGTGCTACTGATACAAAAAACAGACACATAAGCAAATGGAATAGGTTAGAGAAACCAGAAATAAAGCCACACACCTAGAATCACCTGATCTCAACAAAGCCAAAAATAATAAGGAATAAGGAAAGGACTGTTCAATAAATGGTGCTGGGATAACTGGCTAGCCATATGCAGAAGATTAAAACTAGACCCCTACATTTCAGAATATAAAAAATCAACTCAAATATGGATTAAAGACTTAAATATAAAACCTCAAACTATACAAATCCAAGAAGAAAACCTAGGAAATAACATTTTTGACATCAACCTGGGCAAAGACTTCGTGATGAAGATTCCAAAAGCAATTACAACAAACTGATAAGAGTAGATACTACACTTGATCTTAGCCAAAAGGCCAAAAAAAAAAAAAAACAAAAAAACAAAAAAACAAATATTGACAAGCAAGACCTAATTAAGTCAAAGAGTTTCTGCACAAGCAAAAGAAACTGTCAACAGTGTAAACAGACAGCCTATAGAAAGGGAGAAAATATTCACAAACTATGTATCCAACAAAGGTCTAATATCCAGAATCTATAAGAAACTTAAATTGACAACCAAACAAACAAACAAAAAATCCCATTTAAAAAGTGGGCAAAGGACATAAACAGACACTTTTCAAAAGAAGGCATACATGTGACAAACAAACATATGAAAAAGTGCTAAATATCACTAATCATTAGGGAATCGCAAATCAAAACGACAATGTGATACCATCTCACACCAGTCAAAATAGCTGTTATTAAAAAGAAAGTAACAAATGCTGACAAGGTTGTGGAGAAAAGGGAACACTTACACACAGCTGGTGGGAATGTAAATTAGTTCAGCACTGTGAAAAGCAGTCTGAAGCTTTCTCAAATAATGTAAAATGGAACTACCATTCGACCCAGATATCCCACTACTGATTATATACCCAAAGGAATGTGAATTGTTCTACCATAAAGACACACACGTGCATATGTTTATTGTAGCACTATTCACAATAGCAGAGATATCGAATCAACCTAGATGTCCATTAATGGTGGACTGGATTTTAAAAATTTGGTATTACACACCACAAAATACTACACAGCCATAATAAATGATATGTTCTTCGCAGCAACATGGATGGAGCTGGAGGCCATTATCGTAAGCAAATTAATTCAGGAACAGAAAACCAAATACCACATGTTCTCATGTGTAAGTGGGATCTAAACACTGACTACACATGGACATAAAGAAGGGAACAGTAGACACTGGGGCCTATTTTATGGTGGAAGGTAGGAGGAGGGTAAGGATTAAAACATTACGTATCAAATATTATGCTGATTATCTGGGTGACAAAATTGTCTGTACACCAAACATCCATGACATGTAATTTACCAGGATAACAAACCTGCACCCGTACCCCTTGAAACTAAAATAAAAGTTAGAAAGTAAAAAGAAAACAAATGAGAGTTTACTGTACACATTGCGCCACTTTTTGCTTTCTTAAGAATTTTATTGGCTATTATTTGACAAAAAAACACATAGCTGTTTCTCCTTGACTATTTGTTTGACCTGCCCCTTATTGATAAATATTTACTTTCTGGTTCTCTGTAATAAAAAACTAATTTTGCAACAACCACATTAGAAATGTGTTTTGTCTCAGTTTTCTCTTTTCTTTTAAAAATGATGTTCGCTTTCAAGTGCTTTTCCCTAAAACTTTTTATATGGCAATATTCTTAACCTTAGAGAAATAATATAGAATAGATAGATAAATTTAAATAATGCAAAGAACACGCATATACTTTTTGCTCAGATTCCTGTTAATATTTTCCATTTCCTTTGCCACTACTCCCATGTACATGTATATTATCACACATACAAAAGCATTTAAATGTAGGTTACATGTATTATATTTATTATGGTTGTTTATCCCTAAATACTTTCTTATGTATTTCCTAAGAAAAGGAATATTTTCTTACATAACCATAGTGTAGTTATCAACTTTAGGTTATCATTTAATGCTTTAAAAAATTTAATGGCTACACAGTGTAAATTTTTTTATGTTTTGTGGAGTTATGTAAAGGTATATATTCCCTTGATAACTTTATAATATGTTTTTATCTCTTCAAGTGGTTAATCATGCATTTTTTAACTTTATCAGTTAATTCCAGGCTAAGAAAAATGTTCAAAAAGGATACTTATGTGTCTTTTTGTTGTCATTCTAGAATTTTTTAGGTTGTATTATTCTTGTTGGTTCTAGTGGTTAATTTTTTTCCTTTTCAAAATATACATGGAATGCTGTCAACTTTAAATACTTTCTGATAGAAATTTCCTATGAGATGAGAAGATGGGTGGATGTATTCCATCTGCCAAATTCTTTCTTATTCTGTTTTTCACTTTTGATAGCTTTTGGTTGTTGTCATTGTCATATCATCATTGCTTGTGATATTTATTTTTCCATTCTATAATATTCATAATCTTTTAGTTCTTGTCCTCTATGTAAAGATATTCACTCTAATATAGTCTGAATAATTGTATCTTTTGACCAAAATCTCCTTTTTATCCCCACCCCTACTTCCAGATCCCGGTAGCCATCATTCTACTCTCTACTTCTATGAGTCTGACTTTTTTTTAGAATCCACGTGTAAGTGAGATCATGTGGTATTTAACTTTCTGTGCCTGGCTTATTTTATTTAGCATAATGTTTCTAGGTATATCAATGTTGTCACCAAATTTCCTTATTTTTTATGACTGAATATACTACTAAATACATAAACTTTTCTTCCTCTAGTCATCCATTGATCAATACTTAAGTTGCTCTCACATCTTGGCTATGGTGAATAATGCTGCAATAAAAATGGAAGTGCAGATATCTCTTCAACATATTGATTTAGATTTTTTTGGACATACGCCCAGAAGCAACATTGTTGGAATGTATGATAATTCTGTTTTTAGTTTTTTGAGGAATCTCCACACTGTTTTTAATTATGACTGCCCTAATTTACATTTCTACCAACAGTTTACAAGGATTATCTTTTCTCCACATTATTACCAATATTGGTCATTTTTGTATTTTGATAATACTCATTCTAACAGATGCTAGTTGATATTTTATTACATTTTCATGATTGTTAATGATGTTGAATATTTTTTATATACTTGTTGGCCATCTGTATGTCTTGTTTTGAGAAGTGTCTATCAAGCCTTTTTGGCCATTTTTTTTTTTTTTTTTTTTTTTTTTTTGCTGTTGAGTTATGTGAGTTCCTTACACATTTTGGATAAGGAAGAAATGAAGCACCTGATCAGATATATAGTTTTCACATCTTTTCTCTCAATCCATGGGTGTTTTTTTTCACTGATAACTTTTTCTTTTCGTGTTCAGAAGCTTTGTAGTTTGCAACTTAATTTGTCTAGTTTAGCTTCTGTTGCCTGTGCTTTTGGGCTAATAAACAAACACACAAAAAAATAATGCCCGGACTAATGTGATGGAGCTTTTACCCTTTATCTTTTTTTCTATTAATCTCACAGTTTGAGGTTTTAAATTTTGAATCCATTTTGGGTTGATATTTATATGTGGTGCAAGATAAGGTTTCTCATGATCCAACCCCTAAAAGAAATTAGATTAATTTCCTAACTCCCCTTTTTACAGCCATACTCTTAGAAGTATTTGTCCATTTATTCACTTACTCATTTGTCTGAAAATATTCATCGAGCACTTATTTTTTAATGAACTCTTTGGAAGCTTGGGAATATATTGTGGACAATCCTACAAAATCCCTGCTCATTCTTATGGGGTAGGTGAATGCAATAACAAGTCAATGTTAGTTAATACCAATTACTTTCAATAAAAATAAAACTGGGCAAAGAGAAATGAAGTGAACGAGGCTGAGTTGGGGTCAGCTGTACTCTTTTCCGAAGGATGATTGGAGAAAGCCTTTCTGATGAGAGGATATTGTAGCAGAAACTCGGATAAAATGAAACAAATTGTGCAGCTATTTGGAGAGAATTGTTTTGAGAAGAAGGAAAAAAGAGAGCAAAGATTCTGAGGAAGGATCTTGGTTTGCTGGTTTCAAGAGGGCAAAGTGGACTGGGTGAGTGGGGGAAAGATAGGACATCCTAGGCTTTTCTTTTCTTCTTCTTCTTATTATACTTTAAGTTTTAGGGTACATGTGCAAACGTGCAGGTTTGTTACATATGTATACATGTGCCATGTTGGTGTGCTGCACCCATTAACTCGTCATTTAGCGTTAGGTATATCTCCTAATGCTATCCCTCACCACTTCCCCCATCCCACAACAGGCCCCAGTGTGTGATGTTCCCCTTCCTGTGTCCATGTGTTCTCATTGTTCAATTCCCACCTATGAGTGAGAACATGTGGTGTTTGGTTTTTTTTGTCCTGGCGATAGTTTGCTGAGAATGATGGTTTCCAGCTTCATCCATGTTCCTACAAAGGACATGAACTCATCATTTTTTATGGCTGCATAGTATTCCATGGTGTATATGTGCCACATTTTCTTAATCCAGTCTATCATTGTTGGACATTTGGGTTGGTTCCAAGTCTTTGCTGTTGTGAATAGTGCTGCAATAAACATACGTGTGCATGTGTCTTTATAGCAGCATGATTTATATTCCTTTGGGTATATACCCAGTAATGGGATGGCTGGGTCAAATGGTATTTCTAGTTCTAGATCCCTGAGGAATGGCCACACCGACTTCCACAATGGTTGAACTAGTTTACAGTCCCACCAACAGTGTAAAAGTGTTCCTATTTCTCCACATCCTCTCCAGCACCTGTTGTTTCCCGACTTTTTAATGATTGCCATTCTAACTGGTGTGAGACGGTATCTCATTGTGGTTTTGATTTGCATTTCTCTGATGGCCAGTGATGATGAGCATTTTTTCATGTGTTTTTTGGCTGCATAAATGTCTTCTTTTGAGAAGTGTCTGTTCATATCCTATTCATCCTCTTTTTTGGGTTCCTTTGCCATTTGATTGAGTTAGTTCTTTCAAACCACTTAGAAGAATGTGACACATCAGTAAACAACAATAAGATTAATGTCCTGTGGCATCTATTGTGTAAATAAATTTCATCTGTTTTCTGAAATACCTTGATAGACTCCTCATTATTTACAGAAAAAAAATTCAAACTCCTATGCCTAATGTTAAAATCTATATGAAGTTTAAGGCCAAATATATGTTTTCAGACTTAACATTTGAAATTTTTTATACAGTGTATGTGGACTCTCTTTGTCTCGCAGAGATGCTGTCCAAATTTATAGCTGTTCATTGCTGCATAGAAACCTTCAGTCCACTTTCCTTTTATTTACCTATATCTTAGCCTCCTTTTGAGATTCATCACCCCCATGAGACTATGTGCAAACCCTTCTGGTTACAGAGATGTCACCTGCCTAGAACTCCTGCACGAATCACAACATTCCCAGAGCTGCTGTGCACCCAGACCCCACTTTTGACTGTAATCTCTGAAGCAGGACTCTCTTTTTAGAATTCTCACATCTGCATAGTGCCAAGGGCTGGTGTTCCTCAGGCAGCAGTTGCAGGCTGACAACTAGAATTTCTCTTTGGGGCAGACTCAAAGAGAGAGAGAAAGAGATATAGTTATACTTTGTGCAATTTCACTTTACTTAAAACTCCTAAGATTATTTTCTTAGAAAATAACGTTAATATCCTCCCTATGGACCTGATCCCCTGAGCTTCCGATTCCTTGGGGTAGTTGGTGCCAATTTACTGAAAAACTCTTTAGAGAAATCTCTCCTGTGTCCTGTGCAGAATTGGGTCAATGAACTCTTTTTTAACAGTGCTATTCGAAGGTTCAGTTTTCAAGATGGTATCACTATATTATTTCTCTTCTTGGACACCTGAAGAATCTGAGAAGGAGGACAAGTCTACATTTGTAGGGTAACTTATTTTAATATTAGAAACTATGGGTTTTGTGATTCACTTTGACATAGGCACACAGAGTCTAGGGTTTCTTCAGATGGGGGAGTTAAATGATCACCCAAATTATATTCAGGAAGCCATGTATGCAAAAAATAAGCTTAGAAGCCTGGAAAAACGTGATCTCTAAGAGCACCCTGAAGGATGGTTTGGTAAAAATAGAATATTTGTGTCTTTTGGTTTCATTGGCCCAACTTAAATGTACTGAATGGCCCAACTGAAGTCAGTTGAATTTTGTGTTTGGCATAGAGACAGTGAAATTTGCTGGAAGGTTTATGGGTTCATTGAATATTAGAATTAAGAAACCTTGGCTTTTCTGGCTTGTAATTACTTCACTTTACCTAGAATGTGTATTATAAGTAGAAGAGAAACTTCTGGATCAGCTGAGTTGAATTATCATTTTGCTCAGGCCCCAAATCACAATCATGTATAGTATTGCAATTTTCTCTATTACAATCTTTGGCTTGTATAAGACTGGGAAAAATAAAGCTTAATAGCCTTTTCTGCAGCAACTATTGTTTTGCACAAGATTTCAGGTTTAATACCAAGTTTAAAAAAAGTAACAATTATTAATGGTGTATGTGCTTCATTAGCTTCATTTACAGAGGCAATTATCTGAGGCCATCAATGTGTATATTCCAGTTCCAGTTTTCTAAAATTTTTCCATAACCTAAATTTATTTTGACGCTTAAAATTCTATTTCCATTCTTTTGCATGATAAGTAATGAAAATATAAATAACCTGGGGCTAGTGTCTATGTTTAGAAAAAGTAGAATTCTTGAAACATTTTACTACTAAAGTAATAGATTTTCCTTATTAATCTTAAATTTACATCTCTTCAGGCCTTTTCTTTTTCAAACTCCTTTGCCTCTGAGACCATAAAAAGCCAGTGGCTTTTCATTACATGAATTTTCAGGTAACCAAAATCCTTTTGAAACTTTTAGATCAGAGGAGAATGTTGTTAGACCTTCTTTCATTACTTCTCCTCTGTTGGAATCATTATGAATATTTCAAGATAAAAATTGTATGCCTGACTTTCTCAGTTTTCCTTTTTCCCCTTCATCCTCATTCCCCCTTCTTCTCCCTTCTCTTTCATTGTAATTTTGTTCTAAATTTATATTTTAAAAGAATTATAGATTACCAAGAGGTACACAGATAGCACAAAGAGGTCCCGTGTACTCTTCTTCCAGTTTTTCCAAAGTTATATATTATGTATCTATAGTACAATAATGTAAACCAGGAAACTGATATCAATTATAGTATCATTGTATGATGCATGCATAGAATTCCATATCATTTTATGTTATGTGTAGATTTGTTTAACCACAACCAGAATCAGAATACACAACTATCTAATCACCACAAATATCTCTATTGTGCTACTCTTTATAATCACACCACCACCCTTTTTTTAACCATCCCTAATTTCCGGCAACCACTAACTTGCTCTCCATCTCTATAATTTTGCCATCCTGAGAATGTTAAATGAGTGAAATCATAGAGTATTGTACCTTTTGAGACGGACTTTCCTCAATTCTGTGTAATGTCCCTGAGATCTATCTAAGTTGTTGCCTGAATCATAGTTTGTTCCTCTTTATCACTGAGTAGTATTCTATGGTATGGTTGTACCACAGTTTGTTTAACCAGTCACTTATTGTAGGATTTTTTTTTCAAATTTTTGGCTATTATAAATAAAGATGTTATGAATACTCTTGTACAGGTTTTTATATGGACATGTTTTCCTTTCTCTGGGATAAATGCCCAGGAGTTCCCTCTTTCTTTCTTAAATTCTTTGTCTTTCTTTTCCAAGAAACTGATAACACTGATTGGATCATGGTACCTCCTCAATATTGAAGAACAAGTCTCTTCTTTGACGGACAAAATTCGATGAAGAGTGAATGTGTTAATGGGTATATACACCAATGATATGAAGGAATACAGGAGGATCTGAGAAGGCATCCCAGAGAAGATATTGTTGAGTTGTTTGAGTCCTGTTCCAAAGACAGGTTCTCTTGTTTCAGCCTTCCCTCCATTATTTTAGACAATTTGATTAACTGTTGCTATAGAATTGGAAGTGAATTGGAAAGGGCATTACATTATCTAATTCTTTTTGTATTTTTAGTAGAGATGGGGTTTCTCCTTGTTAGCCAGGCTGGTCTTGACCTCCTGACCTTAGGGGATCCACCCATCTCAGCTTCCCAAAGTGCTGGGACTACAGGTATGAGCTACTGTGCTGGGCCAATATCTATTTACTCTTAATCTGGTGTGATGACAGGTATCAGCCTGAATTCATTGCTTTCATAATTCCTTTTTCTATGATGTGTTTCTTAAAATATCCTTGGTTAGAAGGCAGATGTTTTTAGAAAGGTAACCTGACACAGTTAGAAGATTACATTAAGTAGTCTCCAGAGTTTACTTCTAGGTCTAAAGTTCTAATTCTGTAAGAAAATCCTCTTTTGATCAGAAGGAAACTGAGGAACCTAGTGAGATTCCGTAAATAGTTCAGTATCACCGAAATGGTTCACAGAGAGTAAGTAGGACACCAGGAGTAGAATTTAAGACTGTCGTACTACTTAACTTAAATAAAAGTTAAATTCAGATGTGAAATTAAGAAGCACTTAATTATGAATTTATTGCATATAAAATTATTTCTCTTTCTTGTAACAGGTTGAATCAGAGAAATGGACTATAGAAATCAAACTTTGGTTACTGAATTTTTTTCCGTGGGATTAACAAATCTCTTTCAGCACAAGATTGCTCTCTTTCTGGTATTTCTCTTTGTTTATCTTGTCACTGTTCCGGGAAACTTGGGAATGATCACTCTTATTTGGATGGATTCTCGACTCCAGACCCCCATGTACTTTTCTCTCTGCCACTTGTCCTTTGTGGATGTCTGCTCCTCTTCTGCCATCGGTCCCAAGATGTTGACTGATATCTTCGTGGAGAAAAAAGTAATCTCTTTGGTTGTGTTGCCCAGTTATGGTTTTTTGGCCATTTTGTAGTAACTGAATGTTTCCTTCTGGCTGCCATGGCATATGACCGGTATAGGCTATCTATAAGCCTTTGTTGTATACACTCATTATGTCCCAACAGGTCTGTGTGCAGCTGGTGGTGGGCCTTATGCTGTGGGCCTTATAAGCACCATGACCCATATGACTTTCACCTTTCGCCTACTCTACTGTGGTCCAAACATCATCAATCACTTCTTCTGTGACCTTCTCCCTGTCCTCTCCCTGGCATATGCAGATACCCATATTAATAAATGTTTACTTTTTATCTTGGTGGGTGCCCTGGGAGTACTCAGTGGTGTGATCATCTTGGTCTCCTACATTTACATTGTCATTGCCATCCTGAGAATTCGCTCTGCTGACGCGAGACGCAAAGACTTCTCCACTTGCTCTTCACACCTGATGGCTGTCTCCATCCTGTATGGGACACTCTTCTTTATCTGTGTATGTCCAAGCTCTAGTTTCTCTATCAACATCAATAAAGTGGTTTCCCTGTTCTACACAGCAGTGATCCCCATGTTGAATCCCCTTATCTACAGCCTGAGAAACAAGGAGGTAAAAGATTCATTCAGCAAGAAGTTTGAAAGAAAGAAGTTTCTTATAGGTAGGTGAACTAGAATACCAATTATACTGCAGATTGAGAAGTGATACTTAATAGAGGCAAGACACTGGACTGAGTGATATTTTGTGTTTACTGCTTTGTTTTGAGATTCTACAATCTGGTATATAGTAAGAGTTCAATGTATATTTGTTGATTGAAAGGTAAATATGTGGCCAATACTAAATTATTTGTTTAATGGACATTAAAGTTGGACAGGCATTGGTTCAAAAACAGCTCTGGCCAAATTTTCCTGTAGGAATGACCTACCCACAGAATGGAAAAATGCATCAGATTGAATATGTATACATAAACACACACTTAAAAGATATGTATGACTTAACATTGAGTTTGGCATGCAAAAGATAATCAAAAATGGTAATTTTTAAAGAGAAAAAAGTGACATTTTTCTTTATGATTTTTTTCTTTATGATTCCATTTATCACTATATATGGCAGTTCTAATGATATGATTTCTATTTGACTTTCTGGTAAAGCATTATATTTCGCAATTTTTTCCCTATAATATGTACTTGTTTCTTGGTTGTAGATATCCATGTTCTCTATGTTTACAATGGTACCCGGATTTACCTTTAGAGAATTATCTCTCACTTACAGAATACAGTTTTAGAGGGACTGAGATGTCCTTGACTTCCCACAGCATGGTATAGACAAATACCTAAGCTAAAATTATTTCTCCCTGGCCTTTGAATTGTAAGCCAAGTGACACAGTAGGAAAATGGTTGAGACTCATTCATTTCAGCTAGGTCTCCTGATTGTACAGCCTCTGCCATAGGGACACTAAAAGCTGTCTTGGCTCTTATTCTGTTTATACTGTTTCTCTCACCTTCCCATTCATCCTGTGAGCTACCCAGTATTCTTGCAATGAATTTCCTATTTATGCTGCTTGCAATTCAAGAAATCTGACATATTGCCCAATATTTCTTTGCTTATGAAAGTATTCCATGCTCAGTTAAATTTTCTTTAATAATTTTAAAATAGATTCTTAAGAGTTTACTATTTAGCGTACCTTAGGAGTTAGATTAAATTGTAAATTTATTCTATCTAAATGTTACTTGCAGATCAAAGCATTCTTTTTTTGTTTTTGTTTTTGAGATGGAATTTCACTCTTGTCACCCAGGCTGGTATGCAGTGGCTTGATCTCAGCTCACTGCAACCTCCGCCTCCCAGGTTCAAGTGATTCTCCTGTCTCAGCCTCCTGAGTAGCTGGGATTACAGGTGCCCACCACCACGCCTGGCTAATTTTTGTATTTTTAGTAAACATTGGGTTTCACCATGTTGGCCAGGCTGGTCTCGAACTCCTGACCTCAGGTGATCTGCTTACCTCGGCCTCCCTAAGTACTGGGATTACAGGTGTGAGTCACTGCACCCAGCCCAAAGCATTCTTAAAGTGCCTTCTTTGATGATCAGTTAACCCAGTTCCATTTGTTGAATGATTCCATTAATAATTATCATTAATTGAACCTTCACGATGTACCAGAGGACCTGATTTAACTAAAGAACATCTGCACAGCAAAAGAAACTACTGACAGAGTAGTAAACAACAATTTACAGGATGGGAGAAGATATTTGCAAACTATGCATCTGACAAAAACCTAATATCCATAATCCATATGGAACTTAAATCAACAAGTGAAAAACAAATAGCCCCATTAAAAAGTGAACAAAGGACATGACAGACACTTTCTCAAAAGAAGACTTACAAGCAGCCAACAAACATATGAAAAAATGCTCAGTATTTTTCATCAGAGTAATGCAAATCAAAACCACAATGAGATACCATCTCACACCAATTAGAATAATTATTATTAAAAAGTTAGGCCTGACATGATGACTCATGCCTATAATCCCAGCACTGTGGGAGGCCAACGTGGGTGGGTCGCTTAAGCTCAGGAGTTTCAAGATGAGCCTGAGCAACATGGTGAAACCTTATCTCTACAAAAAACATCCGAAAATTAGCCAGGTATGGTGGCACCTGTCCCTGTCTGTAGTCTCAGTTTCTTGGGAAGCAGAGGCGTGAGGATCACTTGAGCCTGGGAGGTTGAAGCTGCAGTGAGCTGTGTGTTCAAGCCACAGTATTCCAGCCTGGGAGATAGAGTGAAAAAAAAAAAAAAAAAAAAAAAAAAGAGAAGTCAAAAACAACAGATGATGACAAGGCTGTGTAGAAAAGGGAACACTGCTACACTATTGGTGGGAATGTAAGTTCAGCTACCATGGAAAGCAGTATGAAAATTTCTCAAAGAACTTAAAACAGAGTTACCTTGTGACTTTTAGCAATCCCATTACTGGGTATATACCCAAAGGAAAATAAATCATTCTACCAAAAAGTCACACACATTCATATATTCATTGAAACAAAATTCACAAGAACAAAGACATGGAATCAATCTAGGTACCCATCAGTGGTAAGTTGGATAGAGAAAATGTGGCACATATACACCATGGAGTACTACACAACCATAAAAAATGAAATTATGTTCTTTGTG
This sequence comes from Homo sapiens, assembly GCF_000001405.40. Classification (NCBI taxonomy): domain Eukaryota; kingdom Metazoa; phylum Chordata; class Mammalia; order Primates; family Hominidae; genus Homo; species Homo sapiens. The sequence continues at coordinate 117,205 of NW_003871074.1, read as the reverse complement.
GCAACATGAATGGAGCTGGAGGCCATTATCCTAAGCAAATTAATGTAATAATAGAAAGCCAAATAGCACATGGTCTCCTGTGTAAGCGGGAGCTAAATATTGAGCACACATGGACATCAATACGGGAACAATAGACACTGTGGACTGATAAATGGGTCAGGGAGGTCTGGGAGCATGGGTTGAAAAACTACCTATTGGGTATTATGTTCATGACCTGGGTGACCAGATCCATACCCCAAACCTCAGTATCAGGCGATATTCTCATGTAACACACCTGCACATGTACACCTTGTATCTAAAATAAAAGTTGAAATTAAAATAAAATAAAATGTAAAAAACAATGCTGTATAATCCAGAGGTTTAGAAGTTCAGGTTGTGAGCATTTAATGTGATGGGTAAGAGTTCTCTCTACTGCTATCAAATTCCACTAGGTGAATACCCTATGGATTGATTAATCCTCTATTCTCATTCAAGGATAAGGAAAGAAAAAACAAATTATATACAGCTGTGAAATAATGCGTCATAATCAGAGAAAGGGCAGGATACTGTATTTGGAAAAGAACCTAATGTGCAAGTTATTTAAAAATAAGAAAAAAATGTGTTTACATGTGTGTGTTTGTGTGTTTTTTTTTCTACTGAAGCAAGAGAAGAGGAGATGAGGATGAAGAACCAGTAGTGACTTACAGTGCACATGTGTTGTGATGATGATTAAGTTTCAGTATACATCATGTGAGTGAAAAATAAATAAATAAAAGAAAGAGAATACCTAAGTTGAGAGAACATTTTCCCAAAGACATTGGTATCTAAAAAGGGTGAGGTGATTAAGCAGTCATGAATGAATTGATAAAGATTTCTGAAGGCAAAGTTTGAAAATGACTGAAATTATACTTGATTTGACTTCTTCCTCAACATTACGACATTACACCTTATGTAAATGTTTCTGTCTGCATTCGTTTCTTTTGGTTTCAGAGTTTTTAGAAGCAGGGCATTTGGGAAGTGGGGGTCTAAGGTATACTTGTGGCTAATCCTGTAGTGTAGTATACTTTGGCTGAGCAGTTGCAAAAATTTTGCAGTACTTCTTGTTGGGAAATCTTAGCAGTTGTTACATCATTGTGCAAAAGTTTTACTCTGTAAGTATTTAACTGTTTAGGAAAGAAGTGGGGGAAAAAGTTTACCAGTCAAACACAGAAAACAAATAAGCTGATCCCAGTGGATTTTGAAACAGCATTTGAAGACAGCAAGAATATCTTAATTTACTTCTCTTAACGATGAAATCCCCAGGGTATAGCATACTTTGGGGACATAAGTTCTTCCAGAATGAAAAATGATATAACTGCTCCTGCAAATTTTAATACAAGTGATTAAGATGCTGAATTTATTCCAGAGTGGAATTTTACTAGTTTATTGGGAAGAAGATTAAGAACAAAATCAAGTAACTCCCAGAAAGTCTGACCTCTTCTTTGTGCAGTCACAGGTTGAGGAGGGAGATAGAATGCCTATTTAAAAGGAGTACAGTTTCTACTCCATTTAAATTTTAATCCTTTTTGTCATCTTCAAAGAAGAAAAGATTTCATTAGAATGTAAGTTTAGGTCAATTTTAAAATCCATTTCTGTCTCTCTGTTTACTCTTTGAGAATACAAAAATGAATGAAATGTATTTACAGGAAAATGAAAATGATTGACCTTTAAAATGTGACATGGAGGAATATCCAATGTCAGATATTAACTGGTTAGAATACTGCATTAAAATCTAGCAACAATAATGTGAAATCTTGTAAGATGCACAAAGGGGCTATGATCAAGTTAAATTTGTCTTCAAGTCCAAATAACTTTATTCTTTTCCTTAGTCCACATTTATAGATGAATGTGCCCTGAACAGGAGAGAGGTTCCGCACCCATTCTGGGAGTGGTGTCATCAGTATGGAACACTGCATCACCATGAAGGCATGAGGTGTGAAAGGTAATGAGATGACTATAAATAAGAGCTTAATTTGCAGGTGTTTGAGAGCTGCTGTATTTAAGCTAACTTGGGCCCTACACAAAATTTATCTGGAATCTCATTGCTTTCTTTGTAGTAGCCTCTTTACTGTTAAATGTGCATTTGAATTGATGGATTCTATACTTCAGAAACAGCATACAGGATTGGATTGGGACATTGAAAGATCTCCCATTATTTTTGTAATGTCCCGATGGAATGCCACAGTGGTAAAGTAATAATGGAGGCTGTAAATTCAGACATGGCAATATCTTAATCTCAGCACCCTAAGGAAGTAGCAGTGCTAGGACTGCTTCATCATCTTCCACAGAGTTTTGATTTCCTGCTCTATGAAATGAGGAGGGCCAAATATTTCTTATCCCAGCTTGGGTGGAAATCAAATATATGGTCATTTGTGAAGAACTTGAGGCGCAGTCTGGTAGGTCATGAATACTTTACAATTGTTGTTGTACAATATTCACTGTAGCTTCAGTCATATCCAGTCTTCAGCACTGCATGGTGGAAAGTGATTTTGTATTTGCCACCATTTCTGTAGTCTTGGGTGAGACATCTTGGAGCCTCACTTATTTATAAAGGACGAGGGTGGGGCTCTCTTAGCTTCTTTGAATTTTAGAAATCTAGAACTCTAAATGCATATTTTGAAATTGTTTCTCATCCTTTACCTTCTGGGTTTTACACATTTCTTGGTTCTTGTTTTTATACTAGGCTGATTGCAGCTATTTTCTTTTTTAATTGCTGAAATACTTGAAGGAATTACTTTTGATTTTCATTATTTTTAGTCAGGTTTTGGATTGTTTTTAATTACAAATATAATGCATGTACAGTTGCCCTTTGAACAACATGGGTTTGAACTCTGGAGGTCTGGTTTTACATGGATTTTTTAAAACAAAAATTACACCCAGTGTGCCTGTCTCTCCTGCCCCCTCTTCTATCTACTCCACCTCTTCTACCTCTGCCACCCCTAAGACAGAAAGACCACATCTTCCTCTTCCTATTCCCTCTTAGCCTACTCAACATGAAGACAAGAATAAAGACCTTTAAAATGATCCACTTCTATTTAATGAATAATACATACATATTCTCTTTCTTAAGATTTTTAATACTGTTTATTTTCTCTAGCTTATGTTATTGCAAGAATACAGTATATAAAACATATGCAAAATATGTGTTAATTGACTGTGTTAGCATCAGTAAGGCTTCCAGTGAACAATAGGCTATCAGTAGTTAAGTTTCTGGGGAGTCAAATGTTATACATGGATTTTCAACTGCTTAGAGGGTTGGTGCTCCTGACTCATGTATAGTTTGAGGATCAACTGTATATTTTCTCTTTGTAACAAAATCTTAAAATTGTAAGTAGGGCTAGCTTTAGTTACTCACTCAAATAGGGTTCCCTGCCCCTTTGTTCTCAGAGATAATGACTGCTCATGTGGTATATATCCTTCCAGACACATTTATATATTCTTTTTTTCCCCCATAGGTTATTGTGGAACAGGTGGTGTTTGGTTACATGAGTAAGTTCTTTAGTGGTGATTTTTTTGAGATTTTGATGCACCCATCACCCCAGCAGTATACACTGCACCCTATTTGTAGTCTTTTATCCCTCACTCCCTTCCCACCCTTTTCCCCATTAGTCCCCAAAGTCCATTGTGTAATTCTTATGCCTTTGCATCCTCATAGCTTAGCTCCCACTTATGAGTGAGAATATAATGATGTTTGGTTTTCCATTCCTGCGTTACTTCACTTAGAATAATAGTCTCCAATCTCACCCAGGTTGCTGTGAATGCCATTAACTAATTCCTTTTTTTGGCTGAGTAGTGTTCCATCATATATATGACATATATATATATATATATCATATATATATGACATATATATATCATATATATATGACATATATATATCAATATATATATATATTTTCTTTTATGTGTTTATTTTTTTTAGCTCCAACATATGAGACCATTGATGTTTGACTTTCTGTGCTTGGCTCATTTCGCTTAACATGATGTCCTCCAGTTACCTCCATGTTGCTGCAAATGACAGGATTTCATTCTTTTTATGGCTGAATAATATTTTGTAGTGTATATGTACTACATTTTCTTCATTCATCTGCTTATGAACACTTAGGTTGATTCCATCTCTTGGCTATTGTGACTAGTGCTGCAATAAACATGGGAGTGCAGATAGCTCTTTGACATACAAATATATTTTCTTTTGGGTATGTACCCAGCAGTGAAATTGCTGAATCATATGGTAGTTCTACTTGTGTTTTTTTGAGGAAGCTCTATACTGTTTTCTATAGTAGCTGTACTAATTTACATTCCTACCAAAAGAGTATGAGGGTTCTCCTTTCTCCAGATCCTCACCAGCACACATTATTGTATGACTTTTTGATAAAAGGCATTTTAACTGGAGTGAGGGAATATCTTATCACAGTTTTGGTTTGCATTTCTCTGATGATTAGTGATGTTGAGTAATTTTTTTCATATAACTGTTTGTCATTCGTATATCTTCTTTTGAGAGACATCTATACAGAGCTTTTGCCCATTTTCAAATGTGATTATTCTTATGATTACTTGATAAAAAGTTGTTTGAGTTCCTTATAGACCATTTAGTAGGCCACAAAAAATTCAGAAGTCTCAAAAAATTAAAAACAATTGAAATAATATCACATACATTTTTCTGACCACAATAGAATAAAACTAGAAATCAGTACAAGAGGAACTTCGGGAACTATGCAAATATATGAAAATTAAACAATATGCTTCTGAATTACCATTGGGCCAATGAAGAAGTTAAGAAGAATTTGTTTTTCCAAAAGGAAACAGTTAAAAAGAAAACACTATATACCAAACGTATGCAATAGAAAATAAAGCAGTACTAAGGGGTAATTTATGATAAAAGCCTACATCATAAAAGTAGGAAGACTTTAAGTAAATAATTGATGCAGCTTAAAGAATTGTAAGAGCACTTTGTAGATTCTGGATATTAGCCCTTTGTCAGATGAGTAGATTGCAAAAATTTTCTCCCATTCTGTACGTTGCCTGTTCACTCTGATGGTAGTTTCTTTTGCTGTGCACAAGCTCTTTAGTTTAATTAGATCCCATTTGTCAATTTTGGCTTTTGTTGCCATTGCTTTTGGTGTTTTAGACATGAAGTCCTTGCCCATGTCTATGTCCTGAATGGTATTGTCTAGGTTTTCTTCTAGGGTTTTTATGGTTTTAGGTCTAACATGTAAGTCTTTAATCCATCTTGAATTAATTTTTGTATAAGGTGTAAGGAAGGGATTCAGTTTTAGCTTTCTACATATGGCTAGCCAGTTTTCCCAGCACCATTTGTTAAATAGGGAATGAACAGACACTTCTCAAAAGAAGACATTTATGCAGCCAACAGACACATGAAAAAATGCTCATCATCACTGGCCATCAGAGAAATGCAAATCAAAACCACAATGAGATACCATCTCACACCAGTTAGAATGGCAATCATTAAAAAGTCAGGAAACAACAGATGCTGGAGAGGATGGGGAGAAATAGGAACACTTTTACACTGTCGGTGGGACTGTAAACTAGTTCAACCATTGTGGAAGACAGTGTGGCAATTCCTCAGGGATCTAGAACTAGAAATACCATTTGACCCAGCCATCCCATTACTGGGTATATAACCAAAAGAATATAAATCATGCTGCTATAAAGACACATGCACACGTATGTTTATTGTGGCACTATTCACAATAGCAAAGACTTGGAACCAACCCATATGTCCAACAATGATAGACTGGATTAAGAAAATGTGGTACATATACACAATGGAATACTATGCAGCCATAAAAACGAATGAGTTCATATCCTTTGCAGGAACATGGATGAAGCTGGAAACCATCATTCTCAGCAAACTATTGCAAGGACAAAAAACCAAACACCACATGTTCTCACTCATAGGTGGGAATTGAACAATGAGAACACTTGAACACAGGAAGGGGAACATCACACACCGGGGCCTGTTGTGGGGTGGGGGGAGTGGGGAGGGATAGCATTAGGAGATATACCTAATTTAAATGAAGAGTTAATGGGTGCAGCACACCAACATGGCACATGTATAAATATGTAACAAACCTGCACATTGTGCACATATACCCTAGAACTTAAAGTATAATAATATATATATAAATAAATGTAGCTAATTAAAAAAAATTAAATGACCTTTATGTACTATTTAAGAAGACCATTCTTACAAGAAAATTGTAATGCTATCTTTATTATATCTTGTCACATATTTATAGTTAGGATTATTTAATTTAGGTAGTGTAAGGTAGAGTTTTAATATTTGTTATTTTTTCAAAAGCATTCAAATATTATAATACCTTTTATGTTTAATTCATCATTATTTTCCCAATTTGAAATAAACATTTATGTTAAATTGGCATACGTTCATGAATCTGCTTTTGGGTCTTCTACTCATATTTCCATATAGTCTAGGAACAACACCTTGTTGTTATAATTATGGTAGCTTTATAATCTGTGCAGATACCTGGCATAACACATCCTTTGTCTTTGGTTTTCTTTTTCAAAATTGTGTTGGCTATTGTTGAACATTTTTCTTCTTTATACATTTTTAAATCAAATTGTTTTATTAAAATATGTTTCGATTTTGGTTGGAACTACATTAAATTTGTGAAATAATTTGGTGAGTATCTTAACCCAAATAGCCTAAGAAAACCAGGAGCAAGCCTTTTTCTCACCAAATCACCTTTATTGATCCATCACAATGAGGGAGACCACACAGCTTATAAACTACGGACGTCTCATTAAATGAAGGAAAGATAGTAATTATAGGATCATTGAGAAGGGCTGAGTTTAGGTAAAATTTATACCAAGAGAATTTTTGATATACACCAAGCAAAGTGGGGTTGTCTATAAAGCAGTCAACATCAGTTTCAAATTACAAAGCAGACACAGGGTCCTTCTTCCTTAGGAATTACAAAGTTAAGGTAAATGTGGAATATTGCATCTTGAAGCCCCTTGTTTGATGTTCTGTATCTGTGTTGGAAATAAGACTGCTTTGCTATGTCAAGGTGACTTAGATCTTCTAGAAGAGAGTAAGCTGTTTTATCTACTAATATAATTTAAAAGAAAATTAGATGGCCTATTATTTTAGAATAGAAAGTCATTCTTGAGTAATAAAATAGTAATTACTCAAAGAAAAGTGTTGTTGGGACACTTTACAGCTGCAAAATATTCTATGGAGAAATCTTGTTTCCTGCTGACTCTACAGTTGTATTTATCTAAGTCTGTTAGTCCAGTGTGAAGAATGGCCAGTTAGATTTTTACTTTCCCAATAGGAGCTAATTTATTTTTTCCAAGAGAAAAAGACTCTTTATGACTAAGTCATTTGATCCAGAAGAGATCAAAAAACAAAAATATTATGTTTTTCTGGCTTATTTTGTCATTTTTTTTATTTCATTAAAGTTCCATTATTTGTATTTTTCTTCGTAGAAATCTTGAAAATGCTTTGTTGGGCTTATTAGTGGTTTTTTTTTTTTATTAATTCCAGTTGATTAATATGATTTTTGCTGAGATAATTTACATTTGATTATTTTTGATTTTCCATATTGATTTTCTATTCTACTACCTTGTTAAACTTTTATTATTTTTTTCTAAAAATTTATCTTAACAGTTGATTCTCCTAGGTTTTCTATGTGGCTGATTATTTTGCCTGCTAATAGTGACAGTTATTTCTTTCTACTTTTACTACAGTACTTATATTTATCTTTTTTTTTTTTAGAATTTTACAATCTTTAATATAAATGTTAAATACATATGTTATGGACATCTTTAAATAGTGTCTGATTATAATGTGAATGTTTCTAATGTCTTAACACTACACACATTTTTTTTTCTGGAAGATTCTTTGTATTAAATTAAATAGTTATTTTTATTTCCAGTTTTGGAAAGTTCTTCTTGAGAGCTGCATTTTATCAAATTCTTGTTCAAATTCGATTGAAATAATAATAATGCTTTTTCCTATAATCTGTAAGGGTAGTGATTAATTTATATAGGTTTATAAAGTTTTAACCATTTCTTAGTTAAGTCCCAAATTTCTCTATAAAACGCTTAAACCATACTATTTTTTAGAACTGTGATATATCTAATGTCCTAGCATTTTATTTGGGCTTTTTAAAAAATATCAATGTTTCTAAGTTAGTTCCACCTATATTTCTTTTCCTGTGCAATATGTTATGATTTTAAAAAATCAAAGTTGAATGCATGATCAGTTCTCTATTTTTCTCACTATAGAGACTAAAATCAACCAATGGCTGATGGAAATATAAAAGGATCACAGAATTCATTTTTGTAGGCTTAAGGTATCATCTTCAGCTGCAAGTCTTCCTTTTCTTACCATTTCTACCTTTTTTACCTCATTACTATGACAGAAAACTTGGGCATGATGGTTCGCATCTGGCTCGATTCCTGCTTTCACACACCTATGTACTTTGTCCTCAGCTACCTGTCCTTTGTGGACATCTGCTTCTCATCCGTTGTGGGCCACAAGTTGCTCACTGACTTATTTGCTGTAAGGAAAGCCATCTCTTTCCTGGGCTGTCCCTTGCAGCAGTGGTTCTTTGGGTTCTTCATAGTCATTGAGTATCTTCTCTTGGCTTCCATGGCCTATGACAATTATGTGGCCATCTGTAACCCATTGTTGTACTCAGTGGCCATGTAATAGAGACTGTGCATCCAGCTGGTGGTTGTACGTTATGCAGCTGATTTCTTCAACACCATAACTCACACAACGGCTGCTTTTCATTTTCCCTTTTTTCACTCCAACATTATCAATCATTTCTTCTGTGACATGTCTCTCCTTCTTTCTCTCGTGTGTGCTGACGCCCGGATCAATAAATTGTTAGTTTTCATTGTGGCTGGAGCTGTACTAGTTGTCAGTAGCCTGACCATTATAATCTCCTATTTTTACATCCTTACTGACATTCTGAGGATCTGCTCTGCTAATGGGAAGAACAAAACTTTTTCCACCTGCTCTTCACACTTAACAGCTGTTTCCATCTTTTATGGGTCTCTCTTCTTTAGCTACGTTCGACCAGGTGCAACTTTTTACCCGGAACTCAATAAAATAGTGTTGGTGTTCTGTACATCCCCATGTTGAAACCTCTCATCTACAGCTTGATAAATAAAGAAGTATCCTAGCCACTAGACCACCAGGGAAGTGGGGAAAGGATTCCCTATTTAATAAATGGTGCTGGGAAAACTGGCTAGCCATACGTAGAAAGCTGAATCTGGATCCCTTCCTTACACTTTACACAAAAATTAATTCAAGATGGATTAAAGACTTAAATGTTAGACCTAAAACCATAAAAACCCTAGAAGAAAACCTAGGCAATACCATTCAGGACATAGGCATGGGCAAGGACTTCATGTCTAAAACACTAAAAGCAATGGCAACAAAAGCCAAAATAGACAAACGGGATCTAATTAAACTAAAGAGCTTGTGCACAGCAAAAGAAACTACCATCAGAGTGAACAGGCAACCTACAGAATGGGAGAACATTTTTGCAATCTACTCATCTGACAAAGGGCTAATATCCAGAATCTACAATGAATTCAAACAAATTTACAAGAAAAAAACAAACAACCCCATCAAAAAGTGGGTGAAGGACATGAACAGACACTTCTCAAAAGAAAACATTTATGCAGCCAAAAAACACATGAAAAAATGCTCATCATCACTGGCCATCAGGGAAATGCAAATCAAAACCACAATGAGATATCATCTCACACCAGTTAGAATGACAATCATTAAAAAGTCAGGAAACAACAGGTGCTGGAGAGGATGTGGAGAAATAGGAACACTTTTACACTGTTGGTGGGACTGTAAACTAGTTCAACCATTGTGGAAGTCAGTGTGGTGATTCCTCAGGGATCTAGAACTAGAAATACCATTTGACCCAGCCATCCCATTACTGGGTATATACCCAAAGGAATATAAATCATGCTGCTATAAAGACACATGCACACGTATGTTTATTGTGGCACTATTCACAATAGCAAAGACTTGGAACCAACCCAAATGTCCAACAATGATAGACTGGATTAAGAAAATGTGGCACATATACACCATGGAATACTATGCAGCCACAAAAAATGAAGAGTTCATGTCCTTTGTAGGAACATGGATGAAGCTGGAAACCATCATTCTCAGTGACTATTGCAAGGACAAAAACCAAACACTGCGTGTTCTCACTCATAGGTGGGAATTGAACAATGAGAACACATGGACACAGGAAGGGGAACATCACAAACCGGGGCCTGTTGTGGGGTGGGGGGAGTGGGGAGGGATAGCATTAAGAAATATACCTAATCCTAAATGACGAGTTACTGGGTGCAGCACACCAACATGGCACATGTATACATATGTAACAAACCTGCACGTTGTGCACATGTACCCTAAAACTTAAAGTATAATAATAATAAAAAAAGTAAAAGATGCCATGGGGAGGATGATTACCAAAAAGAAGTTTTTTAAAAAGAAAATTACAATTTTAATTCTCATCAAGAACAAAAAGTAGATAAAAGGAAAAGCTTCCAGACATAGTTAGACTTCCTCGTCATCATCCCAAGATACTAAGCCATTTGCAAAATTTAGGGGATGGCATATTTCTATGCTTCCATCTGACTTTTATTTTACTACTTACTTTTGGAAAAACCTCCATTTCATCATCTTTCTATAAATGATAAAAATTTTTAGTTACCTACAGAGTCAGAACAATTATATGTCTCCCCAAAATCTTCATTATTAGGAATATGATAAAGTCTAATGAATATTAGAACCATCTAGCGACTGTTATTACTAGCACACTAGTTATATTTAATAATGTAAATGTCCACACCAGGAGTGATTTATTGGAAAAAAAACATGTGTTCCCCATTCCCATCTACAGAATTGAAAATATAAAAGGTTACTTTGCTTAAAAATAATTTTTTAAATAAAAGGAATTCTTTTTCTTATATTCCTTTGAATTTATTTTATGCCTATTTTCTTTATTTTTATATTCTAAAAACAAAATAAATCATCATTATAACAGAAAATATAAAATATAAAGGAAAAGAGGAGCAACAATAAAAATAAAAACCCTAGAATCTTACTATTTCATACAGAGACAAATCCTGGCAATAATTTTCAGATGACTCTCTGTGTATTTGACTCTTAAGTCATTTCAGCTATTACTTTATTTGTTGATATTTAGTTTTTTTCTTAGTTCTTTTAGGTAAAAATAAATGGGAATAGCTTATTATAGAAACTAGAAATAAAATGCAAGAAAGTGAATAGTAAAATAGAAAAATTTTTAAAATTCAGAGGCACTGGGTATGGAAAAGTTAGAGGTAAATTAAAATACAGAAAATTTACAGCCTATTTTCATGTTACCCATTTTTGTTGTTTCCAAATTGAAAAAGAAATATAATAGACAAAATTTTAAAATAGTTTTAGCATCTTTTTGTTTCTTTGAAATTAAGGAAGAGTTTCTGGTCAGAAAAGTGGATGCAGAGCTGATCCTGTGCATCTAAAATAACTCTTCATACAGAACCCCAATTTCAGAATGAATCAGGTGCTATCAGATCTTCTCCAGTGTTTACAAACTTCCCTGGAACACATTGGGATGATATGTGTGGACACTCAACTTTCCCCAAGGCTCTCAATATTTCATGGGTGTCTCATTGAAGGAGAGACCAATAGACATGTTCAGATGGAAAGCGGTCTTGTCTGGACTCAGAACAATGGGTCAGTAACTGCAATCTCCTTGAATTGCACTTGAGCAATTCCAATGCCAAAAATAATGGGTTGAAGGCAAATCTAATGATGTTGACAGAAAACAGACTGTCTGTAGCCTGAGTGTGATGAGAGGCTTTGCACCCTCTTAGAGATTTCAGAAATCACTTTTTCCAACCACAGTTTTTACCATATTTTAAAAGTAGTAAACAACATTTTTCTTGAAATGAGAAAATTGTTCCACTTAGTAAGATTATTATATAATTTAATGTATTAATTGAATCAAAACGTCTTTGGCCTAATAAGAATATAAAATATATGGGCCTAAATTAAAAAAATACTTTCTCTTGTTGCCTAGGAAAAGCAATAAATACATACTTTTAGAGACCTAAAATTATTAGAGAATGTTTGGAAAGCAGAACACAAAGAAAGTAAAACTCACATGTAATTTCACTACTCACATATGAAAACAATGGTAATATACATCAAAATAGATATTTTTTTCTACTATTTAAAATTTATATGTTTGTACCATATATATAGGATTCTGAAATATAAAAATGCAGATAGTTTATTTTATAAGACAATGGGATCTAGAAAAACACACGTTCTTGTCATGTAATTTTGTTTGTATAAATAATCTATGCTAAATCCATTGTTTACACTCTTCCAGCATTTTCTTATATGTAGGTATATATATTTTTACAAGATTTTTATAGGATTTTATATTAAATGTTATTTTTAGCTTGCTTTTAACTAGATAAATCCTAAATATTTTAAAATAAATTATGTGCTATTAGATATTCTTCGCAAGAGGATTTTTAGTTGTCAAAATTAAGTTAAAAAATATGTATATGGTGACTCCTGATTAGCAGGCATTATTCCAAGTCCTGAGGATACAGCAGTAAATGAGACAGGAAAAGTTCTTTTCTCCTTTGGAGGGAGAGAAGCGTGCATTTAATGGCGAACCAGCTAGGGATTAGTATTACTACAAATAAAGAAGAGCTAGGGATCAGCACTACTACAAAAAAAGAAGAGCTAGGAATCATTATCCTACAAAAAAAGAAGGATCAAATATATCTCATGATGGAGACAGGATCATACAGTTTATTTACAGTGGGGTTGGGATTCTAACTCAGGTCCTCAGACAGCAAAACTTGTGCTTTTAGCTATCATACAAATGCCAGCATGAAAGGAAGATCATCTAAGGGGAAAAAATGGCTAAGAAGAAAAGAAGCCAAATAAATTACATTTACCTCTGTAGCAAATACTACTAAAGAGGAATTCCATCTTTCATTCTCCTCTTGCTTAATGGAAGCCCCATTTTTAGCTGGTCACATTGCAACCAAGATAGAACACTACATTTTTCAATCTCCTTTGTACGTGGCTGTTGCCACATGACAAAGTACTGAAATGTAAGAAGAAAATGTGTGAGGTTCTTCTGGGAAGTCTCCTTAGATGTTTAGGTTAGCATTCTTCTTGTCACCTGTCTCCTTTTTGTGACCTAAATGTAGATTCAGTGGCAGTCATTTTGTACTATGGGGAAACATTCGGGCTCCTGTCACTGTATAGTAGCCTTATCTGCCCTACATTGGCTATTTACTTACTCATTTTATAAGAAAGAAAAATAAAGTTTAAACAACTTGTTTAAGTTACTGCTACTTTAAATTTCCTAACACATGTAGGCAAACCTAATCTGAACTGATAAAATCCCTTTTTTGGGGGTGGGTAGGGAAAGAACATCCACGTAACACCTTTGGTCGACTATTGTATTGGTTTGGCTTTTAAGCTTTAGCTCATTAAAGGAAAATAAAATTGGGACAATATAGTTAGGAGAAGTTTTCTACTCATTTCTTTTCTGTCACTATTTGACACCATTCAAAAGAAACAAAAACTGTCTTTGATTGACCCAATTTTTTTCTACTTACCTGTTAGTTGTGTCCAGAGTACTGGTATCCTCCAACTGACTTATTCTCCTGGATCAGGGGCCTACCTCTGTGGTTTGAAGATTCAGGGCCTCATGGTTGACAGCCACACCAGGTGTGGGAGGGACAAGTTATCTTAGAACCACTAAAAGAGTGTTTTTTTTTTTGCCAAAAGAAGGGAAAAGGGACATCTGATTGGGAAGACAAACATATTTAAAATGGAACTTTGAGGAAAGAAAGAAAAAGGTTTAAAGATGTTTTGAAGAAAGAGAGAGGAAAAGATTATTTTTAATCCTATTAGATTCAGTGATGTGTGTGCATGGTGTGAGTATGTGAGAGAGAGAAAGAGAGAGGAGGATGTGACAGTCAATTGCAGGTGTGTCAAGTTGGTTGGACTAAGGGATGCCTAGATAGCTGGTAAATAATTATTTCTGGGTGTGTCTGAGAGGGTGTTTCCAGAAGAGATTGGCATGTGAGTAGGTAGACTGAGGTGGGAAAATCATCCCTCACTCAATGGGGGCAGGCACCATCCAATCGTCTTGGGGCTTGGATGAAACAAAAAGACAGAAGAAAGGCAAATTCTATTTTTTTTCTCTCTCTCCTAGTGTTGGGACACTCTTCTTTTCCTGCTCTTGGACATCAGAACTCCAGGCTCTCCAGCGTTTGGACTCCAGGATTTGCACCAGTGGTCCCAGGTTCTCAGTCCTCAAGCCTCAGACTTAGAGTTACAACATCAGCTTCCCTGTTTTTGAGGCCTTTAGGCTTGGACTGAGCCATGCTACTGTCATCCTAAGGTCTCTAGCTTGCAGATTATCTGCCTGGGACTTAAACTTCGTAATCATGAACCAGTTCCCCTAATAAATTCCCTCTTAGGCATCTATATCTCTATCTGTGTCTACATCTATCTATCTCTGATAGGTTCTGTCTCTCTGGAGAATCTAATATCTATATTATATTCACAAATTTAAATACGAATGGCACAACTATATTAAGGTTACATAAGTGAGGCTACATACTGCAAAATTCAAAATAAAATCAGTATCCAAAATTACACATAATTTATAGAAATTTTTTTGTATTCTTCTCTATAAAATGGGGATAACATTATCTAGGGCATTGTATTACTATCAAAATTAAATAAGATATTGCAGGAGAGTATTTAGAAGTGCTGGATGATGTTTCTATTCTTGTTATTGCTGATTTTTTTTCTTATTATTATTGATATTCATATAGTCATCTTTATGGATGTTGGAAAGGCATGGGACATCATCTGCTCCTGATTAAAACACAATTTTATTTACCTAGAAATAGAGGAATTCTTCCTAATCATATGTCCCAAGGAGCTACTACTTGTTTATCATGAGAACCTTGTACAGTGTCTGGCACAGAGTAGTTATTCAATAAAAGTTTGTTGAACCCAACGGAGCATAACAGGCTTTTGTTTTCTTCAGATCCATTTGGAAAGAAATGTAAGGAAAGATTAACTATTAATGTTGATTCATCTTTCTCCGGTTTCTCTGTTAGTAAAGATTTCCTCAAAATGACCTTACATCCTGAGTTTTCAAAACCTAATTTTAAATATTAGTTCAATTTCCCAACCCATTAAATTTTGCTTTTATAATGTTTGCTTTCAGTACTCATGAAATATACATTTTCATATTATTTATGAAACATCCTTTTCTCCTTCCTTTTAGTAATCTTAGGTAAGAAATTGTGAAGGAAAAGAAATAACTAATTCAACTGAGTTACTCCAGTGACAACTTTCTGTAGAACTTTTTTCCTGAGAAATTATCAGATTTGTATAAGGATTATATTTTTCAAAACTAAATTTTAATTAAAAAATTACTCTAAGTTTATATAAAATATTTCACTAAGAAATATATTGTATATCTTTAACTCTTAAGTCAACTCTTGTTAACATGCTCTTAGCGAATACAGAATACGTTTAAGGGTAAACAGTATTCCCAGCGAAATAACACTGTCGTGGTTTCTTCTTAAGTTGTTAAGCATTGCCACTAGATGGCAGCATCAACTTATCAATTAAGATAACAAAATTGTCTCAGGTTTCCTTTATTAATTGAAAGCATTACTAAGATGTTAGGCTTGGAATTTTGGAGGGCCGTGAAGTCCAAAGTTTGTGTGTTAAGGTCTATGCACATTTATTCCACAGGAAAGGACCGGAGCTTTCATTAGATCCTCCAAGTTAATGGCACATCAATCTTTAAAATTGCTGATATACTTTCACATTCGTATCTTTCGATTTGTGAAACTAAAATATAAAGTGAGAAA
Organism: Homo sapiens; assembly: GCF_000001405.40. NCBI lineage: Eukaryota > Metazoa > Chordata > Mammalia > Primates > Hominidae > Homo > Homo sapiens. Next base: position 101,215 of record NW_003871074.1, on the reverse strand, counting down.
ATAAATTTCCAATGACACGTAACAGAACTATGGCATATCTTTTCTAGAAACACATAGTTAAGAGCTTTTGACTCCATCATTGAACATTCTTAATAGCTCCTTATATCACATAACGATCATAAAAAAAGGCATATCATTAGCTGAAAATACTTTCTAGTCTGTCATTTGCTACTTTCCAAATAAATAAAAGTGAGTAAAATATGTATATTTTAAAAATGACTGCTTCTACCTTTTAATATCGACCACAGATTAGAATGTTTAGAATGATTTGTATTTTACTCTAATTATTCAGGAATTTAAAAATATCTAAAAAGTAACTTACTTCCTTTTCATGGGGTAATACTTACATATTAATAATAATGGTAATTGTAAAATGCTACTGTTAATGGGGGTATTGGAACACTCTTTAAGAGAAAATAATATTATAAAACTTTTTAGCAACAGGTGATGTAAGCCCTTTAAAAATTATTTTATTAAAAAAAACTTTGCAAAGTGGAAATTATTCTCATTCAAGAGATAAGAAATCCTGAGGTTCATAATAGTGGAGTGACTTTCCTGAAGCTACATGGGAGGAAATGGCAGACACAGATGTCAAATTAAATTCTGCTTGGTTCCCAAGCTCTTCTTTCTCTTTATTGAAATGTTCACAGCTTTCCTTGGCTAGGGGAGGGAGTTCCCCAACCCCTTTCGCTTCCCAGGTGTGGCGACACCCCACCCTGTTTCTGATCGCCCTCCCTGGGCTGCACCCACTGTCTAACCAGTCCCAATGAGATGAGCCGGGTACCTCAGTTGGAATTGCAGAAATCACCCGCCTTCTGCATTGGTCTCGCTGGGAGTTGCAGACCAGAACTGTTCCTATTCATCCGTCTTGCCTGGGAATCTAGTGCTTCTTAATTGTCAGCTTGTATTTAATATTGGGGCAACTTAAGGCTGTTTAGAAAGAATGGGTATCTGAGTGAAGATTGTACATTTTAGGTTTCACGGTAGAGTGACTCACTGGGCCACTTCATTGAGGAACTCTCAAAGTCAGCATCCTAGTTCCTCTTTACACTTTCATTGAGATCTGTAATCAAATACGGGCAAGTTTTTAAAAACCAGAGCTTTCATGTAATGAAAGGTATGTCTTTCTTTAATCTCAGTATTTTCACAATGGACTCTTGAGGTGATGTGTTTTCAGTGAGTTCAGATTTACATATTGTTTCCGTAACATTTTCAAAATATCTGATATCTGTTGGAATACTCTAGGTTATTCGTAATGACCAACCATCTTCCAATTTCTGAGACTTTAATAAAGAAATACATTTATTTTTTCCTCACAGTACATTCTCATTTCATGTTGGTGTATTCCGTGCACAAAGACTTCAGGTAGTTGAACACTCCATCATGTGGAACTTTCCTCCTCAGTTTGGGAGGAAAGAGAATATAGGGACTCTTCTTTGCATCTTCCCAAGAGTAACACATACCTCTTCTGTTCAAATTGCAATGATCAAAGGAAGTTTTACGGCTATGCCTACTTCCAATGGAGTGAGGAAAAGCAATAATTTGTAATGCTGAGATATCAAGGGGATAGGCATATCACATATTCATTTAGACTATGAATGATAGATCTTCATTAGTTTGTTTGGGACATATTTGCAGCTCAAGCCTTCATCTTCAGAGAGTAACTAGAGCTATTAACTCTTCTCTGTTATTAATGTCTATAGATTCCTCAACCACTATAAGGAAGCAATTTTGATATAATAATATTTTGAATTAGAGTTATCTCCATCTTAACAGGTATATTGTCAATTTGTCTGTTCATATTATTTTCTGCTTGTTTTATCTTATTGATTCTCAAATATAATGTTGATGGTAAAATATAAAATCTGCTATTGTATAAAGCATTTTTGCTATAGCTATTGATTGCATGAATTTGAAACACAGTTTTCAGAATCAATCTGATACTACCATAAACAACTAATAACATAACTTTTTTTCTGATTTTACCCTCATTTTCAACTAAAAATGTGCAAATCTATGATGGCATAAGGTGAATATTCTGTGGTAAGGCCTGGCATAGTTTGTACCTTTCCTTCTTTTGCCAGCTGTTTCTTGCCCAATGATATGGTTTGGCTGTGTCCCCACCCAAATCTCATATTGAATTGTAGCTTCCATAATTCCCATATGTTGTGGGAGAGACCCAGTGGCAGTAATTGGATCATGGGGGCAAGTTCCCCCATATGGTTCTCATGGTAGTGAATAAGTCTCACAAGATCTGATGGTTTTATAAGGCATTTTCCTTTTCACTTTTCTCTCATTTGCTCTTTTGCCTGCTGCCATGTAGACTTTTGTCTTCTGCAATGATTGTGAGGCCTCCTTAGCTACGTGGAACTGTGAGTCCATTAAACCTCTTTTTCTTTATAAATCATCCAGTCTCGGGTATGTCTTTATCAGCAGTGTGAAAACCAACTGATACACCCAGAAAATCATTTAGGTAAAGGAAGAAAATACTTTTTAAAAGCACAGACATATACATTGAAAATAAAGCCAATCATCTGCCTTTTCTTTGACATATGGGTTTGTTTTGTAAGTTTAACATCTTAACTTTAATCATGAGTAATTATCCCCTTACTTCTAGAAAAGCACTATCTAGAAATTGTCTTTGTGGCTACAGAAAATACATTTTTACAAAAACTTAGAAATATAGATTATAAAGATTATTCAGCACAGATGTACATAAAGAAATTTAAAATAATTATGTGATAAGCAACATAGGAAGAATTAAAATATTAATATTGATTCTTATTTAAATCAGTAAATACAATTTCAAAACAGTTAGAAAATACAAATACCCTCATGGAACAAACATTTACCTGTTCTTCAAATAAAAGTGCTTTAAGCAACCATTAGAGAGAGGGTAAATAGAGTCAGAATTCTAGTAACATCTCAGATGTATTTGTTTCCATGAAGAAGAGGCAAAATATTATAGGCAAAATCATAGTAAAGTAATAATGAAGAGGATTTGTGAACTTTAAGGAAATTACAATGCAGCTGCAGAAATAAAAGCCACATGGAGGCTTTAAAAGGAATCGACACTTAGAGGATCAAATTTTTGTTTGAGAGTAATTTTTTGTTTTTTTTTTTTGAGATGGAGTCTCCTGCCACCCAGGCTGGAGTGCAGTGGCACAATCTCGGCTCACTGCAACCTCTGCCTCCCGGGTTCAAGCAATTCTCCCACCTCAGTTTTCTGGGTAGCTGGGATTGCAGGTGTGCACCACCATGCCCGACTAATTTTTTTTTTTTTTGTATTTTTACTAGAGACGGGGTTTCTTGAAAAGTTCTTACAAAGTGCAGAGAGAAAAGAAAACGTAATTAAAAGGATGAAAAGACACATACTGATATCAAAAACATAGAATAGAGATTCACCTAACAGATAATATGTGTATTTTTAGGATAAATCAGAACAATCAGGGCAGAAAGGATGATCAAGGCTACAGAATGTTTCCTGGGCTAATAAAGGGTCACATATTTAGGTCCAGGAGTGGTGGCTCATGCCTGCAATCCTAGCACTTTGGGAGGCCAAGGCAGGTGGATCACTTGACGTCAGGAATTCGAGACCAGCCTGGCCAACATGGTGAAACCCCATGTCTACTAAAAATACAAAAATTAGCTGGGTGTGGTAGTGCACCTGTAATACCAGCTACTTGAGAGGCTGAGGCATGAGAATCCCTTGAACCCTGGGGGTGGAGGTTGCAGTGAGCCGAGATGGCGCCACTGCTCTCCAGCTTGGGCGACAGAGGGAGTGAGATTTCTTCTCAAAAAAACAACAAAACAAAAAAAAAGAAAGTCACGTATTTAGATTTAAATTTTTTACTACATCTGGACAAAAATCAAGAAAAAGAAGCTCACACCTAGACAAGTCCTAGAAGAGATGGTTTTATTGTAAGGTTAATAAAATAATTATTTATGTATGAAGACAATCAAACCTGCTACCCCCAAAGGGGGAAAAGTCAAATAATTATCAGTATCCTTAACAATATTAAACATAGTAAAAATTAATATCATTAGTAATAATGACTGTTAATACTATTTTAGACATAAAAAAATTAAGCTGTGATACCTAAAGGGTTTTCAGGGGAGAGGTAAATTTGTTTTGCATGCATATAGTCAACAGACTCATCAAAAATTTAGCTCTCATAAAAAATGCTTTAAAGAACATGGCAGCATGTAAAGAAATCAAAAACAAAATTCTCAGAGTAGGGACATTCTGTTGTATGCTGAAAGACTTGTAGTTGTCTAGAATCAAAATTCAGAATTCTATTTTGACTTTTTTGTCAGGTTAATGCTATTTGCAGTGGAGGTAAAACTTAACCATGAAGTGTTTTGTTGAACTGGTTTTTATTCTTTTCTTGGCAACAAGAAATGTGTATTCTTTACCATACTTCAACTGTTTAGATATAATCTGCTGAAGTTTAATGATCAATTAATACATCATCAGAAGTCATCTTCCAGCTTACAATAATTAAACTCTTTACGTGTTTTGGTCAAAGTTGTGGGAAAATTAACTTCTTCAGCAACATGTGTTAAATGCTACTTCTAAGGAAAATCCATTTTCTACAGATTTTGCTCATGTTCCCAAGACATGAATGCAAAACAGAGGGGGGGCAGAGATAGCTAAGGTTCTTTGGTGGCCCTCCCTCTCTTGTGCTATGTCAATTTAAAAAACATACCTTGTAAATGGAGTTTCCTTGCTTAGTATGGAACTAGAGAGAAGTGGAGTCACTATATCCAGTTAGAAACAAAACACAAAATTATCAAGAAACATCTTACTGGACTTATTTAGAATATAAAACAACTTTAATTGCACTTTCCCTTAAGCAGCCTCATTCCCAAGTTATGGCACACTCTGGGGACAGAGTGCCTTCAATAACAACAGCAAGAAAAAAAATGATGCAACTAGTTCAGGGAACATTTATCTAATTGAAAAAGAATCTGATTATGTTTTACACTGATGTCTTCCACGTTTATTTGGAAGAAGATAAAGAATAAAATCAAATGACAAAAGTAAATTCTGACCCATTCTCTATGTCAAGGTAGCTGTGTGAAGGGGAGGGTTGTAACTTGAGACAGGGCTTAGTTTTACTTTAGTTCCTTTTGTTGTTGAAGTAGAGGGAGCCCATTAGAATGTAAGTTGAGAACTTTTAAATAATTTCTTTTCGTCATCGTTAAATAAGGAGGAACTCATTAAAAAGTGAGTTGAGAACTTTTAAATAATTTTCTGCTTTTTAATTATCTGCTTATTAACAAGCTCAAGAAAACGTAAATTTTTTCAAGTGGAATTCAACTAGATTACATATTTGGTTCATGGCAAGATCAGCATTACCCTTGTCATTGACGAATGATTCAGCAAGAGCTAAGAAGAGATGATGTGTGTAGAGATAAGGTTCTGCAACCAGATCAAACTATAATCACATAATTATAAAGTGGGACAGAGATGCTTTAGCAGTACTATAATGGGACAAGACAGCACTGAATCCCACCCATTCGATGCCTAAAACACCCAGGTGATTTCCTTGCTAAGGGAAAGCTGTTGTAGGTTGTGTTGCTGGTACCTTAGTGCCCTGAATATGAGAGCCAATTGTGTCTCTCACTCTGTGTGGTTTGATCTCTACGGACCACTGTATTCTATTCTAAGCACTGAATAAAACAGAAATGGAGAAGCCAAAATGTGTCTAGAGGGATAGAAGGATTGGGCAGTTGTAGAAACGAAGATTGACAAAGAAAGGGTGAAGAGCTCTGGACGATTTTCAAGTCAAAGGCTGAAATGTAGCGTGTTCCTGGAGGAGCTTAAGCAAGAGGTGAATGTGATGGTTGAACACTTAGACTGGCCACCTAATCTGTCTTTTTAATTCCTCTGAAACAAATGATATCATGCCAAGTGTGTATATTATTGGCCTTAAAGGAGGTCTATTAAAGTCAAATAATAAATCTCATGTTAGAAAAATGAAAGAAAAGTTCCTATCGTAAGTATGATATTGAACTGCAATATTCGAGGCTAATAAAATAGTTTTCTGAGCACTTGTACCTTGATCCTCTCATTTTAAGTGGATGATAATTCTCAGAGATCAAAGAGCAAGAGTTTTTGCTATATTTAATAAATCAAGCAGCTAAGATTTGGAGAGATCAGCTGAAGATCACCCTTATAGTGGATGACAAAAGAATATACAGAGGATACAGAATTTGGGCTCTTTTTCCAGATTCTTTTCTTTTCTTTTGGATCTCTTAAGAGCAAAGGAACTGTGAAGGCACAGGAAGCATTGAAAAAGTGTGAAAAAGGAAGGAGTATAGTCCTTTTGGATGAAGTCCAAATATGGGGTCCATGTTTGAAGTTTGACAGACCTGTGTTCAAAGTTCACCTCTGCCAGTCACAAGATTTATGAATGAGGGTTGAGCTTCAGTGTTTCTCCTTGAAATTAAAAAAAATATTTAGCTTGCAGGCTTTCTAGAGGGATTAACTAATGTGATAATATGAGTAGTAATTATTGAGCACTTATCTAGATGTTTAGTAAGACTCTTCTAGATATTTTGCATGCATCATCTCATTTAAACCTCACAACACTTACATGGTAGGTATTGTTATTCCCATGACAGAGTTGAAGATAAGTTACTTTTTCAGGGTCAGAAGAGGTGGACTCCAGTGCACTTGGAAAACATGCATTTAGCCTTAGGTTGTAATCATAAAGTGCACAGCATATGGCCTAGAAATGAGTGGCTGTTCATTTCCTCTCTAGCTTGCTCACTCCCACCCTCCTGCATCCCTTCACCAGGTGTGTGTCTACCTGGTGGACTCAGGTAAGGGTCACTGAAGTAGAAGTCATTAGGCAAGTATTCAGGAATCAACTCTGCCAATAATTAGTTATGGGACCTTGAGAAAGCTGCTTCTTCTGTTTTCTCATCTATGTACAGATGGATTTTCATGGAGTCTTAAGATGTCATAGCTTCAGGTCTGCTGTTTTGCACTGGTGTATATCTCACTTTTGTTTGACTGCATGGTGTAACTAATTTATATCATTCTTGACTTTGACCAAGTTCGTGGCATATTTTTGCTGTGTCTCATTTTTGAAGTCACATTTATCAAGTCTGTTGTGAATTCTTTGCTCTTCTTCTAGTAGAAAGCAGAACCAGTCAATGGCTAATGAAAACTACACAAAGGTCACCTAATTCATTTTCACAGGCTTGAATTACAATCCTCAGTTGCAGGTCTTCCTTTTCCTACTCTTTCTGACAACTTTCTATGTCATCAATGTAACTGGAAACTTGGGAATGATTGTCCTCATCCGAATTGATTCCCGCCTTCACACACCCATGTACTTTTTCCTCAGCCACCTGTCCTTTGTGGACACCTGCTTCTCCTCAGTTGTGAGCCCCAAGATGCTCACTGACTTCTTTGTGAAGAGGAAAGCCATTTCTTTCCTTGGCTGTGCTTTGCAGCAGTGGTTCTTTGGGTTCTTTGTGGCAGCAGACTGTTTCCTCTTGGAGTCCATGGCCTATGACTGCTATGTGGCCATCTGTAACCCATTGTTATACTCAGTTGCTATGTCCCAGAGGCTCTGCATCCAGCTAGTGGTGGGTCCCTATGTCATTGGACTCATGAATACCATGACTCACACAACAAATGCATTTTGTCTCCCTTTTTGTGGCCCTAATGTCATCAATCCTTTCTTCTGTGATATGTCCCCCTTACTTTCCCTTGTATGTGCTGATACCAGGCTCAATAAGTTGGCAGTTTTCATCGTGGCTGGAGCTGTGGGAGTCTTCAGTGGTCTGACTATCCTGATTTCCTACATTTACATCCTCATGGCCATCCTGAGGATCCGCTCTGCTGATGGGAGGTGCAAAACCTTTTCTACTTGCTCTTCTCACCTGACAGCTGTTTTCATCTCGTATGGTACCCTTTTCTTTATTTATGTACATCCCAGTGCAACCTTCTCCCTGGATCTCAATAAAGTAGTGTCTGTGTTTTACACAGCAGTGATTCCTATGTTGAACCCACTTATCTACAGCTTGAGAAACAAGGAAGTCAAAGATGCCATCCACAGGACTGTCACTCAGAGGAAGTTTTGCAAGGCCTAAATTCTTATCCAGAAGGAATTAGGGAGGAAAATTTAAAAGAACAGAGTAATTGTGTGGCTTCCTAAGATTCCAAAACACTTGCAAGTGTTTGGGGGCTGTTTAGCATCCCTTTATCCATTCAACCATCCAATTATTCACTTATTTAGTCAATCCATGTGGATTTATTTGGCCCTATATGTAATCTTTTCCCTATAACATACCAATATTACAGTTCAAACTCGTGGTCCATTTAATTTTACTTCCCTCAGACATCTCATGGTCCAATTATTTTCAAAAAAGCTTTACTTTATTATTTATTTTTTGTTATTTTTAAATCACTCTGCTAATGTATTTTTTTGATGAATCCCTGGCATTAGAATATAAAAATTTAGTGCTATAAGTTTTGTACTCATGTCTAACTCCCATCAATAGGAATTTGTAAAAAAAAATGATGTGGGGATTTTGTGGTTGGCCTCATGAATGGAATGAAACTCTTGGCTGTATGCACCAGGATTTTAGGGTGGCCTTGACACAAAGAACTATGCATATCTCTGGGAATGAAGACAGATCTCTTTTGAACTGTATGACAAATGAGGCAGGCCACTGGGCCTACTTATGGCAATAAAGAGACTTGCATGCATCTCTAATGAATTTCATACCTAAAAGAGCTTCTGAAAAAATCGGTTCTGTATTTTCTCATGATTCAATTTTCTGATAGATGTTTAGAGGATGTTTTGAACTTTGATAGCTTGTGGTTTGGTCGTGTGTATGATAATGTCTTCTATAACCTGGTAATGGCCCAGCCAAGAATGTATGGAGAAATGTTATAGTAGAAAGTAGGCCCTTTATAGATCTGCTGGCTCTAGTGAGATTAGTAGATTTCCAGCATCATAAAGGACCACATGCATGCAGCTCAATTTGACTGGCATGACTCCTGGGCATGATGAGTACTGAGCATCCCTGTGGTCTGTAGCCCAGTGATGTGTCACCACAGCATGAGGAGAGTGGGCACCCATGCCAGGGGTTCCATGTCCTCTTAGAGTCCTACGATGGTTACCCAATTCTATCTTGTCTCTCCCAACCTAGCTTTACCTCTTGATTTTGTAATGAAGAGACAAAAAAGAGAGAGCTTCACTGAGGAATAAATCAGCTTCCTAGATGACATTAAAATCATAGCCAAATTGTTACAGAAATATCCTAAGGTTTTTAAGGGACTTTTAGTTCCACCTATTTGCCCAAAATGAATCCGGCAAGGATAATTAAAATGTTTTCACTGAAGGTCATATTCTACTGGCTAGGTAAATAAATAAAGTTTCTATATTTTAGAGTGCATTATACGTACAAAGTATTATGAGCTATTTTTATTGATTATTCCAGAATGCACAATTTCTGAAAACAGACAATTGCTCAATGAGTGCCCACATAATTATAACGTGTTTAGCTGGAAGGGCCTTAGAGATCAATTTATTCTAGCCAGATTATTGGCCAGTTACGGAGGCTTGGGAAAAATCTTTTTTATTATCTTGTCATTTATAAAAATCCAAAATGTGGCTTGCCATAAAATGTACTTATGGTAGTTCCACTTGGACTTCTGGAACCTGGGTGAAAATAAATTTCCTAGGTAACATAAAGTTTCTACCCCAGATAGTAGAATATTTGTTGGATATGGTAGAGAAGAAGTGTGATATAGTAAAAATAATTATAGGATTTAAAATCGGAAGACTTCATACATTAATTTATTTTAACAAATAATTATCGAGCTGCTTCTATGTGTCAAGCACTGACCCTGGTGCTACATGTGATAGTGAAAACTATGAATATCACTCCTGCATCCATGGAATTTACAGGATAGTGGATCTAAGATACATTTCTGGTAATTACACTTTTGATGTGTCAGTCAAGTCCAGGATGAGATAAATGGAAGTAATGACAATATCCACCACATCATAGGGCTTCTATGAAGATTAAATTAGGTAATAGATGTGGAATTACTACATAAACTATAAACACATTTTGCTGCTTCCTAATGAAATTTATTCAATGAAACAGCAAAATTTTGGAACTAGATTGTTTCCCTAAGTGTGCCAGATTCCCCAATATTTGTTCCATTGCAAGATTTTAACATGTAATAATGGAAGGGGAGATGGAGGCAGCATGGGTGTGGAAAGAGCTTGGGTTTTGAGACAGTCTAGGTCTAACTGAATTCTAATCCTCATTTTGTCACTTGAAGTTTGTGGTTTTAGGGCTGTCTTTTAATTCTACCTATAACCTTGGGATAATACCAAATTCACTGAGTTTTTTGAAGGAGCTGAAGTACAAAGGAGCTGAAGCAGAAGCTTTATTATTTTTTGTAATTGGCCCTTTAAAATGGTATTATTATCTTAAACCTTCCTTCCACTTACTGGCATTGTAGATAGCTAGCTCTAATAGTTTTTTCTTTCACTCAGAAGTAAGAAACAAGTGATTTTCTTTAAAGTATTAAAAAAAAAGTTGAGTCCACTGTAACATCAAGCTGTATACCCTATCGCAATTAATCACCCTCACTACCCCATCTCAGGCTCTGGAGACTTTAGTAGAGAAAGGAGGCAAATCAGATTCCCCATTTAATGCTGTTCTTCATTTCTGACTATGTAGTTGCTGTGTGACTAGCCCAAGATCGAATGCCAGGATTGAAAGAAGAGGCAAAAGAGAGCAAAAATAGATGACTGGAGTAGTAGGAATCTGGTGTTAGCACATTCTAACAATGTATGCATGATTGCTAGTTCTTTCTCTTGGGAGATGCTTTCATAGCTTCCTCAGAACAAGAGTCCCTGCTTCCCCTGCGACCCCTGAAGGCTTGACCTCTTAATTCAGCCCTTTAGTTTTTTGTGAGGCCAGTGCCTTCTCGGGCTGGACATTTACGGTTCCTCCAGCAGTTCCTTAGCTTTTGGCATTGACTTCTATACCATGATCATCTCACCCCCCAGGAGATTGCCTTGAAAGAGTTCCTTTTTAAGATGATACAGAATCTTCCCACTTCAATGAGACCCATATCTGGCTAATGGGGACACAGATGCCTCCTGTTCCCTCCATGCTCTGGAAGAGTAGGCTCTTCCACCAAATGTGGACCTTTTGCAGGCTCTGTCACTTGGTTTAGGTAGAAGGAAAAGAATGGCCATTGACAATTCTCTCCAAGGAAATTCTCCCCCAGTTCTCTTCACTTCCTCTTCCCAAATTCTTTTCCTCTAGGCTTAGAGAGTTCAGAGGTGAATGATCAAATCTACTAATGGTGGAGGAACCAGTATGGGATGCTCCCATCCCCTTAGCAAGCAGATGTCCATATACTAGCTTTAGAATTCACTGACTTCAGACACTCAGCAGTTTGCCCTTGATTTGGGGACCTGTGCTGAAAATCAGAGACAACATTTATTATCCTGTTATAATTTAAATCAGATAATAAATAGTAGGTATCTAGTTTTTTGCCTAGATATAATAAATGCTCAATAATAATTTTATCATTGCAACATTTATTATTTTTGACACATGACAATCTCTAAATGTTGCTGCATGTAAACTAATTTGATTTCTGTGTTATTAGCAGGCACTTCATCACCAACACTTATAAAGATACCTTTATAACTTCTTAGTTTACTTTGAGATTTCCCATAACAGAGAAAAGAAAATGTACATAAATATGGAATTCTGTTTTATATTCCTATAGTAATGAGTTGAAAAATAAAGACCTTTATTTTTCTTTCCACAAATAACAAAACTGTTAGAAATACTGTTTTGCAATCAGATGAGATGGGACACATTCAGGGACTGTGGAAAACAGTGTAGAAATTCCTAAAGAACTAAAAGTAGATTTGCTATTTGATCCAGCAATCCCACTACTAGGTATCTACCCAGAGGAAAATAAGTCATCACACAAAAAAGATACATGTTTGTAGCAGCACAATTTGCAATTGCAAAAATATGGACCCAGAATGCCCATCAATCAATGAGTGGATAAAGAAAATGTGGTATCTATATACCATGAAATACTACTCAGCCATAAAAAGGAATGAAATAATGGCATTCGCAGCAACCTGGATAGAATTGGAGGCTATTATTCTAAGTGAAGTAATTCAGGAATGGAAAACCAAACTTTGTATGTTCTCACTCACAAGTGGGAGCTAAGCAGTGAGGACATAAAGGCATAAGAATGATACAATGGACTTTGGGGACTCTGGGGAAAGAGTGGGAAGGGGCGAGGGATAAAAGACTACACACTGGGTACAGTGTACACTGCTTGGGTGATGGGTGCACCCACCAAAATTTCAGAAATCACCACAAAAGAACTTATTCATGTGACCAAACACCATCTGTTCCCCCAAAAACCTATAGAAATAAAAGATAAATTAAAAAACTTGTTTAAGTTGATTTACTCAACAACTCTTTGTCGGAATGTAACTCATATTTGTATCCTGCCCTTTATAACAAATGCTCTCAGTTTGCAGAAAAGTAAATGAGGTGTAGGACATGAAAACTCCTTTCTCCATTGTATCTTGGATCAGAAGATGAAGATAAGAATACAGATACCTAGTGAATTATCTGTATGAGTTTTAATTTAAATCTCTTCTTGTATGTAAATTGAGGATAATATTTATCCTAGAATGTTGTTTATAAGAAGTTGATTTTTTTCTGGTATTATGGGAAAGTGTTTAAGAGTAAGGTGCTTGATGAAAGATTCTTTTGAAGCGAAGAACAACATGCCACAATGGAAACACACCTGGGATGAGACTGTGAAAATTTAACAAGGTGATAGGTCATTAAGCATGTTACATATCCTTTGGGATGTAATAAGCACTTAATACATGGGTCTATATCGCTAAAATCATTGTCTCATGCTGGACTCACACATTGCCATCCTAGACTCTACATTTTTATATATTGTGTTTTCTTTTTTGGTTCATGTTTGTCATGGATGGTTTCTTGTGACATTTTTACATGCTCCAAATGGACTTTAGATGGAATGCAGTCAGCTAAATGAGGTGGTCACTCTTTACTTAACTGTTATGTTGCCTGTGTCTACCAATACTTGAAACCAGCGAGCTGTGGGAAATATACTAATGAGTAAGTGGGACTCCACTGTAGTCAGTGCCTTAGTTTGGGATTAGGTCCTTTTTGCTATATCTCAACCTTCCTTGTTCTTTGGCCCCTGAGTGCCTGGGATGGAGGGAGAGAAAGATAACACAAATACTGGAGGATTTTCCCAAAGTAGCCTGCCTCAGATAGCCCTTCTCCAACTGTGTGAGTTACTGGTAGACATAGAAAACAAATTCATAATAAAGTATTTTGGAGAAGACTGTGTCTTGTATGTTCCACCTTCCCTCCCCTTGGTGACTCAAAAAGAACTTTAGCATAGAAAGTGTTTCCAGAACTATGGCATTAAATAAATCTGTTTATATTGATGGAACCAGTGTTATTTGACAATGGAACCTTTTGTCTGAGTTATAGGCAGAAGTTCTGTCCCAGGATTACAGTTTGAAAAACAATGTTATGTAGGGAAAGAAAGAACACGATAGGAATGTAAATCTTTCCTGTCACTTAAGGTAAAATAAATTGAGTTTTGAGAAGTGATAGAGAGAAGCTTTACCACTTAAAAATAGATCTTTAAAATTTTTGTTTCTTAAAGAAAAGGAATGAGAAGGGCATGAGGAAGAAAGAATTTAGTCAATATTTGCTCTGAAAAATGACTCAGATAACCAATGGTAAAGATAAGCATAATACTAGCAAAACATATGGGGGTACTGGTGTATTTTCTAGGCTTAAAAGGGGTGTAGAAAAAACATGCTAGATAGGTTTGACCATATATCATAAAACTTCCATGGTCAAAAAATTAAAAATCAATTTAAAATGTGGGAAAATATTTGTAGAAAATACATACCTGGAAGTTTTCTTACTATTTTTGCAAAGGGCTCATAGATATATGAGAACAGTTCTGACTAAAATGTCCAGAGAAAATGCTTAAACCAAACATTGGAAAATATCTCACAGCTTGGTAAGTAAAATGCACTTTGTTCTTGTAAATGGCAAAATAAATTTGTAAATATCTATCAAGAGGCTTTAAAATGCTTCTGTAGTTGGACTCAGTAATTTCATTACAAATAACTTGTCCAATGGAAAGAACTCCAAATGGGGAGTAAGATGGGGTGGCACCTCTTATTCAGGGACGTGTTTGTTGCTGAGTCTGTGCATAACCCAAGCATCCCCTGGATATTTTAGCTTATAGCTTAAAATGACATGCTTTTTCCTTTAATGTCAAATTATAATAGACTCCAGTTCTCATTCTTCTGGGCTGCAAGAAATGCAACTGTACCAGTGTCTCTTCTCCATGGAGTTCAGGGTATTCCAGGGGAAACAATGAGTGCTGGTGCTCTCCTGCCTCCTTGATTGCCTCTGGCTGCTTCTGCTCCACTGACAGGCTCCAGGACTAATTGCTGCAAGTTTCTTCTGCTTCCCTGCTGTGGCTAGTCTTCCCTCTGCCATTTCTTCCCAAACCTGCAAACCAGCCTATCTTATCCAGAGCCACCCACAGCATAGTTGAGGCCAGTCTGCAACTTCTAATGAGTCTTTATTAAAGACTGGGTATAATAAGAGAAAAACATGTAATTCTGGGAACATTTTGGAGCTATGACATGGCTTACCCTGAGCCTACAGGTAGATTGCTCCATGGGCTTCAGAAAGACAAGTCTCATCAGAACAAAGGAGTCAATTCATAGATTATTTTGCCAAAGGTTTAGTGATTTAGTCTTGAACAACATTACGTGTGGGTCTCCACAGTCAAGTCTTGGTTGAGTTCAGCCAAACTGTACAGTCTTGTCTTCATTTAAAGGTGCTTCCTGTAGAGTTTCAAACCATAATTTTTAAATAAGAATCTAATTCAAGGAGAACACAATGAATTGGCCACAATTTAGAGGGATATTGCTATCTAAATTCTTTCTTACAAAAGAATCATTTCTCCCAATCGCTATCTTTCAAACATGTCCCACAGAAGGAAATATAGAAAGACCCAGTAGAGTCATACAAATATACAACTGGAAGAAGAGTTCCACAAAATATACTTAGTTTTACTCCTTCAATACACTTTAAATATTCTGCTTCAGAAATCAGCAGACTATGATTTGTG
Source organism: Homo sapiens (assembly GCF_000001405.40). Classification (NCBI taxonomy): domain Eukaryota; kingdom Metazoa; phylum Chordata; class Mammalia; order Primates; family Hominidae; genus Homo; species Homo sapiens. Next base: position 85,974 of record NW_003871074.1, on the reverse strand, counting down.
TATCAAATCCAGCTTGACACCTGTGTTTGTACAACTTGCAAGTCAGGAATGGTTTTTACATTCTTAAATGATTGGAAACAGTCAAAAGGAGAATATTTTATGACTCATGAAAATTATTTGTAATTTAGATTTTAGCATCCATAAAAAAAGTTTTGCTGGAACACAACCATCTTTATATTAGAATCTCTCAACAACAGTTCTACTGACATTTTGGCCTGGATAACTCTTAATTGTGGGGATATCCTTTGCATTGTAAGACATTTAACCACATTCTGCCCTCTGCATTAGATGCCTTTAACACCCCTCATTCCAGGTGTGATAACCAAAAATGTATCCACATGTAAGGTAATAATATATAAACCACAACTACTGATTTATGAATAGTCCTTGGATGCTTTGGGACTACAAGGGCAGTGTGGGGTTCCTCTATTTTTCCCATTTTTTCTTTGTCTTGACCAAAAAATATGGAGTATCTTGATTGCTCTTGTGACCTTACCAGCTCCATGTTTTTCCCTGCATACTTGAACTCAAGCTTGGACATTTCCAGGCACTGATACACTTGTTTAGGTTGTTGTCTCAGATACGAAAAGAAACTAGCCCTGGTCCTGAGATGAATTCTTTAAACTGTCCTATAAATTCCATAACCCAACACATTCATTGGGCATATGCCCAGCAGAACCTCCCTTTCTCTTGCCATCTGTCATGAGGATTGCTGCAGCACTTTGTAAATTTCTCTAATAAATGCTTTGGATGGATCACCCTGGTGTTTAGTGTTTCTATCTTTGGAATCCCAATTGGCCCCATCTTGGGAGGGTTTTGGGCACTCCTTTTTGAGACCTCCCCTGCAGTCACTTTTGGGGTTACTCTAGCCTCAGGTTTGGATGGATGAAACAAATAGAGCTGAGTAGTTGTCACATAAACAGTATGCCAGCAAAGCCTAAAATGCTTTCTATATGGGCCTTTATAGAAAAGCTTGACAACCATGTTTTATGTATTTATTGTATCGCATTCCTTTAAATAATGCTAGTCATAACCTACTAAGATGATTTCATTTCCCGGTAATAGAACTCAAACTGCAGCTTGAGAAATTCTATTTCTATGTAGCTTTAGAGAGACAGTATACTAAGTATTGGATAAGAGCATGTGCCTTAGAGCCACATATATCAAATCTTGACTGTGCTACTTGATAGCTGTGTGGAGATGGGCAGATTACTTAACCTCTCTGAGCTTCCATAACCTCCTATGTAGAGAGAAGGTGATAATAATAGTAGTTAAGCAGTTAATTTTTGTAAAAGGTCTAGCACAGTGCTTTGGTACATAATGAGCACTAGTGGTTTGCTATTATTATTGGTGCTTAACATATTTCATGTTATGGTAAAATAATGAAGAGCATTTTTAATATATGAACATAACACTGGAGGAATTAGGAGAGAACTAGGGTGTCTAAATGGAGCTAGTTCAGACATTTCATTAATTTTAACATATAATGTAACAAAAAATATAAAATATAAAATGATTAGGAAGATGATTTTATTTATCTATTTTTTATTTATTTTATTTTATTATTATTTTTTTAAGACAGAGTTTCGCTCTTGTGGCCCAGGCTGGAGTGCAATGGCACAATCTTGGCTCACTGCAACCTCCACCTCCTGGGTTCAAGTGATTCTGCTGCCTCAGCCTCCCGAATAGCTGGGATTACAGGCGCCTGCCACCTGTAATTTTTTTATTTTTAGTATAGGCAGGGTTTCAGCATGTTGGCCAGACTGGTCTCGAGCTCCTGACCCCAGGTGATCTGCCCACCTTGGCCTCCCAAAGTGCTGGGATTACGGGCATGAGCCACTGCACCCGATCAGATGATTTTAATTCATATACAAATTAGAAACAAATTTTCTCCAATTTTTGAAGGAGAAATTTGAGTTTTCTTCCATAAGTACAACAGTTTTTACCTTAGGTTTTATGATTGAAATGACTATGAACAATTCTGGATGAATAATTTTTAATCACAATTTGAAAATTAAGTTTTATGGAATTCAAATTTTTAAGGGAGCTGAAACTCAACTTAAAGAAATGATATTTAAAGCTGTTCTTCACTTATCTTGACTGTGTTATTTCACAATGTATAGGCATATAAAAATATCAAGTTGTACACAATAAATATGTATGATCTTTAGTTTATATGTATTTAATGTGTCTAAAATAAAAACAATCTTCATTTTCTCTTTTTGATAAATGAAAGTTGAGATTTCTTGTTATAATGAAAATGGATTTAAAATGCAATCTAATGCTTACATATTATGTATTTAAAAATCAGATGAATGTCTAATTTGCTGAATGTTCACTAGTTGTTAGTCATGCTGCAGCCTAGACATCAGTAAAGTGACACATCAGAAGAAAGGTACAAACATATCTAATAACAATGAAGATGAATTTGGGAGTCCAGGTGGAGCTGCATTTGCCAGGAGACACTATCAGCTCCACCTATCAACCAATTTTTGCCTGGCTGTATCTCCACCGACACTCGGAACATGTACATGTCCTGCAGCGTCATGGTCCCTTATCACAATGGGGCCATCGGGGTAATTGCTTTTCTGCAACATGCACATTGTAGCAAAGCAGAGAGCAGAGCCATGGATGCTGGATTAGCCTCTATGGGGACCATCAGCTCAGCATCAGACCTTCTCTGTTGTCTTTCTGGAGTGCCTGAGGAAGCTGCCACGGCCAGAGCTTTCCACACCAGGTGGCCAGCTGCTCCATTTTAGTTCCGATATTTCTTGGGGCACCTATAATTTGTATGCTGATGGAAAGCTCTTTTTGTTCATCACTATTCCTCTAGCAGAATGCCTGCTACGGAGTAGGCACTTAGTAAGATTTGTTGAGCGAATGTTTATAAACTGGCCAGTATCTTACATGACCATATTCATCCTTATCTCAAAAGAAAATCTTTGATTTCTCTTTGTGTGGTTAAAAAGCTGACTCACATTCATAGCAGCATTGTTTGTCATAGCTAAAATGTAGAAACAATGCAAATATCCATTCAGGGATGAGTAGATAAAAAATGTAATACTATATATGTGCAATGGAATAGTGTTCAGTCTTAAGAAGAAATTCAGACACATATTCCACAACACGGATAAACTTTAAAAACACTGTACCAAGTGAAATAAACCAGACACAAAAGAAGAAATATTATATAATTCCATTTGTATGAGGTACCTAGAGTAGTCATATTCATAGAGTCAGAAAATAGAATAGTGGTTACCAGGGTCTGAAAGTAGGGGACAATGTGGAGTAATTGTTTAAAGAGCAGAGAAAGTTTCAGTTTGGGAAGATGAAAAATTCCTGGAGATTAGATGGTGGTGATGGCTGCACACAATGTCAATGTATGTAATGCCACTGAATTAAAAATGAATTGACACTTAAAATAGTTAACTTTGAATTAACACTGAATTAACTCTTGTAATGGTTAAAATGGTAAATTTTATGTTATGAATATTTTATTACACACACAAACTGGGTGAGAGTGACAGTGGGCTAAACTATAATATCAATGGACATATGTTGAACTCTTTCTATGCCCCAGGCACATTAAATGCATAATTTCACTTGGTTTCCCATTGTACATACTATTATTTAACCTTCTTTTACATTTGAGGGAACTGAAACTCAAGAATTTTAAATAACTCACAGGAGATCGAGAGCTGGTGTTCCAACCTAGAGATGGAAAGACCCATGCTCTTCAACATAATCAGGGTGTGAATTACAGCCTTTCTTACAGCTTCCAATGTTTATAAATTAATTTAATCCCTTAGGCTTGCTGGGGTTTGCTGAATTGGAATATAATTTTGTTTTTTCCAGGGCAAGGGAACAAGACCCAAGAAGACAAGATAGCAACTAACGAACCAATAATGTTAGAAACTGGCCCTCCCGACCACATCAATTTACAAAGGCATTTCCTATTGCTAGTCCCTATTTGCTGCTCAATCTGCATGGTCCCAGGAGTAACTTTCAGAGCTGGATAGCAATCATCACCCAGGAAGTTTTCTTATTTAACATTGTTTTGATTAATTAGTTCCTCTGAAACTTATTTAGTATTAAGGCAAATAGTTATTTTCAAGTTTGGTAATTGCCCATTTCTGAGCACCCAATCAGTCTTAATGATGCCCAAGGCATTTTGTTAGAGAGGGAACATGGAGCAATTGATGGCCTTGGAGCCTCAGTATCACCTTGGAAAAATCATCAGTATTTTTCTGTAATAGGTTCCCTGAAGTGTTAACTACTCTTCACTCAGACCCTAAATTCTTGTGTAGTTCTTTTGGGTTGCATTAATGTTAGAATTAAAAACCACCTTAGAGAAAATTTGGGCTGAGCTATTTCTTTGTTAAGTGAGGGAATTAGTAAGGGGAATGGAAAATCAATCTGTTCCAGGTCACAGAATTGGAAACACAGCCTGATCTAAAATTGAGTCCTCTTGATATTTTGGGCAATGACTATTTCTAGGGTATCATGGTACCTCATAAAGACAGAAGGAAAGAAGGGAGGAAGGAATAAAGAAATAAAGAAAAGAAAGAAGGCAGGCAGGAAGGAAGACAGGAAAGCAGGCAGTCAGGTAGGCAAGCTCAAATAGTGGTCTTGCTGGAAGGGGAATATTAAACATTTTATGATTAACTGATGACTCTTCCTGAAACCATTTAAAAAGAAGACAAATAAGACAATTGTGTTCTTGTGGAATTTTAGAATACTGTGATATGGCAATTGGCAATTTTTTTTCAAAGAGAGTCACTGCTTTCTGGTACTTTCTGATGATGCCAACAAAAAAGGAAAATAACGTTGACCACTCAGAAATAATAGTGTATGTTCTCGATGTTTTCTACTTTGTTCTCTTTGTTGGCAAACTTTTTAGAAAATTTTTCCTAGATCTTTCATCTACAGGTATTTGATATAAACTGAATGAATATTAGCTGTGAAGTATATTTTATGTATTTTTATGTGATTATATTTTATTTCTTACATTTGTAAACTTTGTGAACCTTACAAATATATATATTATGCAAGGGCATGTGCATGCATAGACACACACATACATATAGATCAAAGCAAATATATCATAGAAAAAGTATACTACCATCAGAGGAGGTTTGAACATGATGAAATGATTAGTTTAGTTAGATATTATAGTGCTAATGTTTAAGATAATCTGAGACATGTGGAATTTTGTTTTCTCTCTTTTACAAATCAAAAGAAATATAAGCAATTTGGTATACTTTACATATGTATAAGTTTGGAAATACTTATAGTATCTATTGTTTGACGTTATACTTTTATATTGAAAAATAATGTATGTTCATGGTAAATGTTCCAATAAGGTATGCAGATTACAAGAATACACAAGAAGAACTCAGCAACTGTCCCAGCCCAGACCTCCAGCTTCCCTCTCTAACAGTGCTCATCTTTAATAGTTCCTTGTGTTTTCATCCAGAGGATTTTCATCTGTTTTCAAGCATATATGTGAATAAATTTTTAACATGCACACCAAGGCAGATGGGCAGATATTGTGCGCATGGTTCTGAGCTTTCCTTTTTCTCAATTTAATAAATATCTTGAGAAGATCATGTATCTGTATATTAATCAGTTAATTACCTAACTGAACAAATATTTATTAAGTGCTACTTTACCAGTGCTATAAAGGAGGTTATGCAGAGACATATACACTGGTGAACAAAAACAGACATGGACTCAGCCTTCTTGAGACTTATGGCTTAGGGAGGATATAGAAAAAATTGCATTCACAAAATACTTTAAATTTTTACAACATAACAAGCGCTACAAAGTAGATATTCTTGGACATGGATACTGTAAAGAGTAGAATTCTGTAAAAGTATTTAGAGCAACAGAGTCTGGCTACTGGAAAGTGCTACCTCTTGTCCAGCACATGAATGGATGTACTAAACATGGAACATTGCTTTGACTCACTACAAGATGGCACATATTCTCTAAGAAAATGACTTGCCCTGCTAAACGAAGTTGGAATGGGTTTTTTGCTGTCCATATATGGATTCATAATTATATGAAAATGCAAATATTTATATATTATTCATAACAAAAATACTAATTTTCTTAATTATATTTATAAATACTACTCAAACCAATTTTTTGTTCTTTATTAGTTATATTACGTGGTATACAACTGCATGCATGTTACTAAAAAAAGTGAAACACAGAAATATATAGAGGAAAATGATGAAAAGCCCCTACAACCTTCTACTTCATATCCAGCTGCCTTGAAATTCAACTTTCTTCCCATGGTATATCCACCCACCCCAAACTTTTGTTAAATAGATATTATTATTTTAAAGGAGTTTTATAGTCACAGAAAAGTTGAATGGAAAGTACAGAAGATAATCCCTTTTAACAGATTTTTTCTTTACATTTGTTTGCAGCACTTATTTTAAAATCTTGCTTGAATTAACATTTTTCCATAACTAAATTATCTTCCTTAAAGGGACTACCTTTCTATTTGGTTTCGATTGTTGGCAATTACAATGTTTGTTTGTTTACTTGTTGGGTTTTTAGTATTTGTTTGATATTTAAATGAATAATCAAAACTATTTTACTAGGGGTAGGCTAGACCATCATACAGGTAAGTTCTTGAGACTCATTTTTCCACTAAGCAGTGACTGAGATGCAGGTTTCTTCCCTCTTTTGAGGCCACCATCAATAATACATGATGATCACAGTTTGGCAGAAGGAGAAGAGAGTAGATGGATGATGGTGTATGGAGTTTAATGGCCAGAAACAGAAATTGTGGACTACGCTTTTATCCATATCTCATTAGCCAGAATGTAATCACATGATCCTGGCATAACTACAAAGCATTCAGGGAAATGTAGTTTTTTTATGCTTTCAGAAAGAGCAGATGGGCTTGGTGAGTATCTTACCTGTGTCATTCAGTACAAGATAAACACCTTAAGAACAGGGACATTAAAAAAGTTAAATAAAATAAATCAGAAGATGAACCATTGTCCTATCATTCACACTTATGAGTCTCAATCACTCTGCTCTTACTTGAAATTCTTTCATATGAATAACAGTAATCCTTCATTTAGGACTTGACCTTTTTTTCCCTCTTAACATCTAAAGCTAAATGTCACAGTATATTCTTCTTTCATTCCACTTCTTAGGAATGTTTTCATACTATTTCATCTAGGTTTTCTCTTCTGCCAAGTTGAACTTATATAATGTTAAAAGACGTTAATGTTTCACTGACAACTATTTTCAGCAGTCAAGTATAGAAGGTAAGAAATATATATTCTAAAGGAGATTTCATCTAGGCTACACTTTGCTAAACAAATTCTTTTTTTTTTTATTATACTTTAAGTTTTAGGGTACATGTGCACATTGTGCAGGTTAGTTACATATGTATACATGTGCCATGCTGGTGCGCTGTACCCACTAACTCGTCATCTAGCATTAGGTATATCTCCCAATGCTATCCCTCCCCCCTCCTCCCACCCCACCACAGTCCCCAGAGTGTGATATTCCCCTTCCTGTGTCCATGTGATCTCATTGTTCAATTCCCACCTATGAGTGAGAATATGCGGTGTTTGGTTTTTTGTTCTTGCGATAGTTTACTGAGAATGATGGTTTCCAATTTCATCCATGTCCCTACAAAGGACATGAACTCATCCTTTTTTATGGCTGCATAGTATTCCATGGTGTATATGTGCCATATTTTCTTAATCCAGCCTATCATTGTTGGACATTTGGGTTGGTTCCAAGTCTTTGCTATTGTGAATAATGCCACAATAAACATACGTGTGCATGTGTCTTTATAGCAGCAAGATTTATAGCCCTTTGGGTATATATACAGTCACCACTCCTATTCAACATAATGTTGGAAGTTCTGGCCAGGGCAATTAGGCAGGAGAAGGAAATAAAGGGTATTCAATTAGGAAAAGAGGAAGTCAAATTGTCCCTGTTTGCAGACGACATGATTGTATATCTAGAAAACCCCATTGTCTCAGCCCAAAATCTCCTTAAGCTGATAAGCAACTTCAGCAAAGTCTCAGGATACAAAATCAATATACAAAATCACAAGTATTCTTATACACCAACAACAGACAAACAGAGAGCCAAATCATGAGTGAACTCCCATTCACAATTGCTTCAAAGAGAATAAAATACCTAGGAATCCAACTTACAAGGGACGTGAAGGACCTCTTCAAGGAGACCTACAAACCACTGCTCAATGAAATAAAAGAGGATACAAACCAATGGAAGAACATTCCATGCTCATGGGTAGGAAGAATCAATATCGTGAAAATGTCCATACTGCCCAAGGTAATTTACAGATTCAATGCCATCCCCATCAAGCTACCAATGACTTTCTTCACAGAATTGCAAAAAACTACTTTAAAGTTCATATAGAACCAAAAAAGAGCCCGCATCGCCAAGTCAATCCTAAGCCAAAAGAACAAAGCTGGAGGCATCACGGTACCTGACTTCAATCTATACTACAAGCCTACAGTAACCAAAACAGCATGGTACTGGTACCAAAACAGAGATATAGATCAATGGAACAGAACAGAGCCCTCAGAAATAACACCGCATATCTACAACTATCTGATCTTTGACAAACCTGAGAAAAACAAGCAATGGGGAAAGGATTCCCTGTTTAATAAATGGTTCTGGGAAAACTGGCTAGCCATATGTAGAAAGCTGAAACTGGATCCCTTCCTTACACCTTATACAAAAATCAATTCAAGATGGATTAAAGACTTAAACGTTAGACCTAAAACCATAAAAACCCTAGAAGAAAACCTAGGCATCACCATTCAGGACATAGGCATGGGCAAGGACTTCATGTCCAAAACACAAAAAGCAATGGCAACAAAAGACAAAATTGACAAATGGGATCTAATTAAACTAAAGAGCTTCTGCACAGCAAAAGAAACTACCATCACAGTGAACAGGCAACCTACAAAATGGGAGAAAATTTTTGCAACCTACTCATCTGACAAAGGGCTAATATCCAGAATCTACAATGAACTCAAACAAATTTACAAGAAAAAAACAAACAACCCCATCAACAAGTGGGCGAAGGACGTGAACAGACACTTGTCAAAAGAAGACATTTATGCAGCCAAAAAACACATGAAAAAATGCTCATCATCACTGGCCATCAGAGAAATGCAAATCAAAACCACAATGAGATACCATCTCACACCAGTTAGAATGGCAATCATTAAAAAGTCAGGAAACAACAGGTGCTGGAGAGGATGTGGAGAAATAGGAACACTTTTACACTGTTGGTGGGACTGTAAACTAGTTCAACCATTGTGGAAGTCAGTGTGGCGATTCCTCAGGGATCTAGAACTAGAAATACCATTTGACCCAGCCATCCCATTACTGGGTATATACACAAATTCTTTTGGTAAAATCCGTTGCAGAAATTGTCAACATCACTGTGGAAGGCTTTTATTTTGGGTGATGCAAATCTGAAATAGGTAGCACAATGGCTCTGAACAATGGATCCTAATGAGAATCCAACAGGCTCTCTTGAACAGATAGGGACACAATCAAAACTTCCCAGTCACATTCTCAGAGGGAATTTTGGAGTCCTTGAAGCCCATCTATGCTCTCCCCAGTGATCAATGAACCCAAATTAAGAACTTTTGCTTTAGCAGTGGTAGAGAAAATATTCAGTCTAATAAAGGAGATACAGGATTAAGTGCTAGAGTATCTCAGATTACTAAATGCATTGTGAGAAGTTCTGATTATACTGGTTCTGCCATTAACTCTCTCATGGTTTGGGGCAAGCCATTTCAGTCTCATAATCACAATATATAATTGCTTTACTGTAGTCATGATCACCTGAACTATAAGCAGCACAAGGACAAGGACTATTTCTACTTTGTTCTCTGCTATATCTCTAGTGATCAGCACATAATTGATAAATTGTCCATAGTCGAGGTTTAATGTTTATTAACCTAAATGGGACCTGAATTATTTCTCTTTGATTTTATTTCTGAGCTCATCCAAAATCAGCATCATGAAAAAATATAGTAAATTAGGTTAAGATAATTTTTCTTGTTCAGTCACTCATCAATGAAAACTGAGAAAGTCCTCCTGCAACTGCCTTCAGCTTGCAGCTGAGAGAGTAGCTGTTGGCAAAAGACTTAAGGCACAGGTATCTAGAAAGATGGTCTTTGGATACACATACGTGGTATCCTGGGGTAAATGGTTCCTGGGGTAAATGGACAAAAAGATACAGATTCTTAGAAAGGATTGAAGGGGTTTTATCAGTTGTCGTATTTCCTCTCCAGCTTTCTGCCCAGCCAGGGCTGGTATCTTTGAGGTGGTTTAATAAGGCTGATTTAACAAACGTTGGAAAAAACTGCAAACTGGGGTCAACTGCTACTACTTGAGCAAAATTGCTAGTCTGTGTGAAGAAGCACTTCTAGGATGTCACTGATAGAAACAGGAAGAAACAAATAGAAAAGAACAAGTCCTTTATCTCCTTTCCCACCCATAAAGTACATATGTATATAAGTATGCATATGTATATATGTATATACATATGTACTTTAATTTTTAATTCTTTTTGCTTTTTCTGATTTTTTAATACTTTCAATTGGCATGTATTGAAAAACCTTTATGTATGTATAAAACCTAGTTTAATCTTCACTACAACTTTATGATGAAGACAAGTTATTTCCATTTTATATGTTAAAAAACTGAGCTTTGGTGAGTTTAAATACACTTCTCTGGGTCTCACAATTAGTGAATTGTAGACATGGGATTAATACTTACACCTTCTCCATCTTTAGTTTGCCAATTAGCCATTACTAAGCTCACCTAAGATGTTACTTTGCCTCGTAATTGTATTTCTTCCAGCATTTAGCTCAGTGCCAGGCACATAGGAATTGCTCCATAAATATGAATCAATATCGTCTTTTTTTTTTTCTTCAGCAAATCCCAAAAGGATGCTCAGGATTATATGGCCTCCCAGTATTGTAATCACTGGTGAGAAAATTCCTGTAGAGTGAATAAATGACATTTTGTATTCTATGGTAATATGGGAAATTCTGAACTTCAGTTAAAATTCAAATGACATTCTCATAAAAGTAAGTGTTGTAGTTAATTAACCAAAACAGGAAGGTCAGTAAATCACAATATAGACAAAAAACAAAATGATTCTTAATATAAGTAAACCACGACTTAAATCTACTTTGTGAAATAGAATAAGATTTTCTTTCTTATAATTATATTTGAGGAAGAAAGCTAAAGTGTCCTCAAATGTCTTTTATTCAGACTTCATTTTCTCTTTCAGTGAGCAGGTAGTTAGATGCATATTTGACAGATTTTTTTTTTATAAGAGGTCAATATTGTCATGACTTTAAAGTATTTCTCTCTCTCTCTCTCTCTTTCTTTCTTTCTTTCTTTCCCTTTCTTCCTTTCTTTCCCTTCCTTCCTTCCTTCTCTTCTTTCTTTCTTTCTTTCTTTCTTTCTTTCTTTCTTTCTTTCTTTCTTTCTTTCTTTCTTTCTTTCTCTCTCTCTCTTTCTTTCTTTCTTTCTTGTCTCTCTTTCTTTTGAGACAGAATTTTGCTCTTGTCACCCAGGCTGGAGTGCAGTGGCACAATCTCGGCTCACTGCAACTTCCGCCTCTTGGGTTCAAGCGATTCTCCTGCCTCAGCCTCCCAAGTAGCTGGGAATGCAGATGCCCACCACCACATCTGGCTACTTTTTGTACTTTTAGTAGAGATGAGGTTTCACCATGCTGGCGAGGCTGGTCCCGAACTGCAGACCTCAGATGATCCACCAGCCTCGGCTTCCCAAAGTGCTGGGATTACAGGCCGGAGCCACTGCGCCCGGCCAAGTGTTTCTTTTTCTATACCAGATAGTGCATGGGATAGAAGCTCCTTAAGAGGGGTGAGAATTATCTGCTCAGTAATACAAAGCAAGGCCGAGGAGGGAAAACTTGCTTGAATTTAAGACCAGCCTGGACAATGTAGTTATACACCACCTTTATAAAGACAAACAAGCTCTAAAATCTTAGTGTTTGTCAAAAGCGCAAAATAAACTGGTGATGTAGGAAAATTTTATCTGTATTGGCGACACTTCTCCCATAGAATACAGCAGCACCCAGCATTAAAACTCTTAATCGAAATCATTAAGTGGCTCTGAAAAGAGCCTTTGGGTTTGAACACGCGATAATTTCACACAGCGGGAAAAGTGGGCATTCTTGTTTAGGAACCAAAAAATAAGTTTGCAACTTAAAATGCAATCAATTTGGAGCAACACGTCCACCAGTCTAGAGCTGGTAAGTTTGAGTATTCAAAATGAGTTGAAAGTACATTTAGTGCCTATAATAACCCACTCTAGATAGCATAATGTGATCTTTGTAGGAGTCTCGTGGAAGTTAATGTCAACTAGGATATTGTAGTTTACCAAGTACCTGAGAAAAATTTAAATTTCTTAATAGATAAGGATTAGGAGACAAACTTTATGGAAATGAAAAAAAAAATGCCATGGAATAAACCTTTAGTTATTCGGCAAGTAATATGAGGGGTTTTAGCTGTCTTTGAAAAACTTCAGATTTGTAAGACAAAGAAGAGCAGAGAATATAAATAGTAAAGGGCCTGGCAACAATGTGTCTTTGTTTTTAGGTAATGTTGGTTGGCAGTCAGCAAAAAGGCCAGGCTCAGGCAGTCTTAACTTGAAAAGGCTAACAGGAATCACCAAAACTATGTATACAACTTCTGCTGTGGGTTTTTTAAATATCAAGATTACCGATTTTAATGTTAGGGTAATATAGACTGAAACCCCTACATTCCTCCACCCTCATGGGCATTTCTCTTGGATCATAAAATGTGGGGGTAGCAGGAGGTAAGGGAAGAGTATTTTAAGAGCCTAGATCTGAGATGTACGTTCAATTTTTCCTCAAAGTATCTGGTGGTTGGACTAGTAATTTATTCATTTATTGAGAACCTATTAAATTACAGAAAATACTTAGTAAAGAGCAGTGAGAAAGATAGAAACTATCCCTGTGCTTTACCTGGATTGAAATCTAAAGTGGATATTTATACAATAAACTCACAAACTAAAGAAAGAAAAAAAAAAGAGGGGTGAGAAAACTATGTATAATATATATTATTTGATGAAGACAGCTGAAGTGTCCTCAAATGTCTTTTATTCAGACTTTATTTTCTCTTTCAGTGAAACAGGTAGTTAAATGGTTATTTGACAGATTTTTTTTTACAAGAGGTCAATATTGTCATGACTTTCAAGTATTTCTTTTTCTTTATATTTATATATATATGTTTTTTGGGAAACATACTATACATTTACATTTATAATTAATATATAGCTAAAGCAGCATCTGAAAAAGTACCAAACTGAATTGCACAGACTGCAGGTGCATTAAGCCTGGAGAGGACTGAGCAATCACTAAGAGTTCAGCTCCTTTTGGTGTGACCACTCCCAGAGTTATTTACTTAAAAAATCCTCCTGATGAAAGAAGCTGTCAGATAGTTGAAGATGAGAGAGATGATTTGTGGGAAGAAGTTTTCTAAGCATGCCTTGATTTCAGCAATGGATGCAGCCAGCTTTAAGTCTATGAATGAATGACAAGTAAGTTTAGCTTAAGAAAACTCTTTCGTGTGTGTGTGTGTGTATGTATTTATTCAATGTGTTATGCATTGCATTTAATCATTCTCTTTACAAGGAATCTTTGGAAGAATGATTTCAAAGTTAATATCGAAAATGGCAGAATGGGCCAGGTGTGGTGGCTCACGCCTGTAATCCTGGCACTTTGGGAGGGTAAGGCTGGTAGATCACTTGATGCCAGGAGTTTAGGACAAGCCTGGCCAACATAGCAAAAAACAGCCAGGCAAAAAATACTAAAAAGGCAAAAACTAGCCAGGTCTTGTGGCACATGCCTGTAGTCCCAGCTACATGGGGGGTTAAGGCATGAGAATCGCTTGAACCCAGGAAGTGGAGGTTGCAGGGAGCCAAGATCATGTCAGTGCACTCCAGCCTGGGCAACTGAGTGAGACTCTGTCTCAAAAAAAAAAAAAAAAAAAAAGAATTAAAAATGGCAGTGTTTGCTGAAATTTTGATTCATTTTGCTTGTCTTTGGATACTACTAATTGTTTATATGAACTATGAGAAATGTTGAGTCGAATTTGTGGTCTACACAGAGCAGTGAATATGACATGTTCATGTGCAATACGTTTTATCCCTGCCTGAATTTTACGTTTAGTTCTATTTTTTTTCTGTTTGCATCTTCTCGATTTATTTACCTATGTAAATATGGAAGATGGCTTAATGTGTCTTATGTGTCACACTCAGCCACCTTCAACCATTTTTATTTGTAAAATCATTGAATTATATATGAATATGTGCATACATTTATACTTATGCTTATTTTATACATTAATAACCAACCATAGATGAAAATGAGAGGCTAGAGAAGAAATGCCTCTTACAACTTTCATTCTCAATCGGAATTTTGAGAACAGGTCCAGAAATGAATTACCCAGCTTTTCTAAAAGCCACAGAAAGTGTAGTTTCTGCAGGAGAACACATGAAAATCTAGGCACTCATAGCGTGGGAGCAACTGGAGATCCTTGGGAGGTAAAGCAAATGTATCTGAGGGATGGATCGCTGAGATGAACAAATCACATAGTTTAGGGAATGCAATACGTAGGTTTAACTTCTAATTTTCAAAGTGCTTTCTCACATCTGTAATGTCATAAAGTCCTGTTGAACTAAGAAAGGCAGGTAAGAAAAAAAGAGTTCTGGAAGTGTCCAGTTTCTTCAATATTGGCAGCAGCTCACTAAATTCAGAATCCAGGTCTCCTGATTCTTGGTACTAAGCTGTTTCTAGGAACACGCTTTGTTAAAAACAACCTTAGAACTTTACCTCGATACACAAAGACAACCCAAATATTATTTAATCCAATCCTCTTTGTTTATATGAATAACTTGTACTTTGACAATAAATGTAGCATTGATATTTGTTTAAATAAAAAATAGATTCTTAAAAGCCTAGTGAAAATAAATTGTCTTTCATCATATAAGTACAGTTCCAAGAAAACGCTTTTTATTTTTTATTTTTCTAGCTCAATGTTAAGTCCATGTCTTAGCAAAATAGCCAAGACTAGGTTGTTGTGTTTTCTTTTCCTAGAAATGGAGACTTGTAAAGCCTTGGCTCTTCTAGCAGAAATTTAACAGCTCTTGCCAACCCAGAACACTGGCAATCATAATGTCACCCTTCTTTGATTGTGGTAGGTGGTAGTAGGGGCCCTCTAAGTGACATTGTGTCCCTCATGACTGGCAACAGTCCTCTCCAGCTCCCACCTCTGAGGGAAAGAAGACTCTGGGGTTGTTTCCATAACTTTCTATTTAGTTTCCTATTACTGCCGTAACAAATAACCACAAACTTCCTGGCTTCAAACAACAAAAATCTGTTTTCTACAGTTCTGTAGTTCAGAAGTTTGAAGTCAGTACCACTGGGCCAAAATCAAGGTGTCGGCAGGGTCGTGCTCTGTCCAGATGTTCTAAAGGAGAATCCATTCCTTTTCTATTTCAGCTCCTTGTGGCTGCTGGCATGACTTGGCTTGTGGTTGCATTACTCCAACCTCTTCTCCCATGATCACACTCACTACCTCCTCCTTTTCTGAGTCAAGTCTCCCTCTGCCTCCCTCTTGTAAGGATATTTGTAATTACATTTTGTGCCCACCCTGATAATATCCCCATCTCAATTCTCTTAATAACATATGGAAAGACCCTTTCCCCATGTAAAGTAATATTCCCAGGTTCCTGGAATTAGAAAATGAGTATATTTGTGGGTCATTATTCCTTCTATCATACTTTCACAAACAATTCATTTTAGGTAGTTTCATTCTTTTTAAAAAAAACCTATTAATTCTGTAGGAAATTCAACCCAAATTATGAACACAATTTTCCAATGATTAATACTTTTATTTCATTTCCAGACACATTTTAGGGTCACGAAGGTAGCTGTGGTTTGAAAATACCATTTTGTAAGCACATCTGTTCTTTTTATTCAAATTACATACGTTCTACTTTATGCAAACTTGTATTCTTAGTTTTGTGAACAAAAATTTGAATGAAATACAATTATTTACTCCAAAGAAATTATAGAATAATGTACTTCCAATGATATTATAAAATGTGGTTAGCATAATAAGATTACTTTTTTTACTGTTTATCCTTTTAGAGTTCACAGAAGATTTGGGGTTACAGCAAGTGCTCTTTTTCATCTTTCTCATCATTTATGTCATCAGCCTCTCAGGCAACATCATTCTGAATT
This sequence comes from Homo sapiens, assembly GCF_000001405.40. Taxonomy (NCBI): domain Eukaryota; kingdom Metazoa; phylum Chordata; class Mammalia; order Primates; family Hominidae; genus Homo; species Homo sapiens. The sequence goes on along the minus strand of NW_003871074.1, from coordinate 69,638 downwards.
CTCTCATCTGTGCTGATTCTTGGCCCTACACACCCATGTATTTCTTCACTGGAAACCGGTTCCTTCTGGATCTCTGGTATTCCTCTGTCCACATCCCCGATATCCTGCTGACTTGCATTTCTGATGACAAAACCATCTCCTTTCCTGGCTGCCTTGCTCAGTTCTTCTCTGCTGTGTTGGCCTAAAATGAGTGCTATATGATGGCTTCCATGGCTTATGACCGCTACATGGCAATCTCCAAGCCCCTGCTTTATTCCCGGGCCACATTCCCAGAGTTATGTGCCAGTCTTGTTGAGGCTTCACACCTTGGCGGCTTTGTAAACTCAACCATCATCACCAGTGAGACACCTACCTTGAGCTTCTGTGGCAGCAATATCATTGATGATTTCTTCTGTGATCTGCCCCCACTTGTAAAGTTGGTGTGTGATGTGAAGGAGCGCTACCAGGCTGTGCTGCATTTTATGCTTGCCTCCAATCATCACTCCCACTGCACTTATTCTTGCGTCCATCTCTTCATCATTGCAGCCATCTCGAAGATCCGTTCCATTAAGGGCCGCCTCCAGGTCTTCTCCACTTGTGGGTCTCCCCTGACGGCTCTCACCTTGTACTATGGTGCAATCTTCTTTATTTACTCCCAACCAAGAACTAGCTATGCCTTAAAAATGGATAAATTGGGGTCAGTGTTCTATACTGTGGTGATTCCAATGCTAAACCCCTTGATCTATAGCTTAAGAAATAAGGATGTCAAAGATGCCTTGAAGAAAATGTTAGATAGACTTCAGTTTCTTAAAGAAAAATATTGGTAAACAATTTTTAACAGATTATCTCCACGTCATTGTTTTCAGCTTATATTCTCAGAAATAAATAAAAGATAAAATAATTTTATAACTTGGAAACGGAAGTCTGCATTTTTGTTTTTAAGTTGGAGCTAAGGTATTGGAATGTATTTTTTAAATAAATGAGGCTGGGGCATTTGCAAAAGCTACTATGCATGGTAGCTTGGAACGGAATCTATAAAATTGTTAAGGGGTCTGAGAATATTGAAAGAAAGCAGATTAAATTTTTTTTTCATTTGACATTTCATAAGTTGCCTACGTCTATAGCATTTTATACAATAAATGAGAATAATATAACTTGTTATGTAATCATTGTTAAGATTAAATAGATTAAGTGATTTACTTGAAATAATGAGGGTCATTGGTTTGAAAAAAGAATGCAAACCCAGAACTTACAAAAAATAACAATGAAAACAAAAAACAAAGGTATTTACCTCACTTGTTAGATGAGAGAGTGAGTTAGGAAGTCACACAAAAAGTATCTACTGCCCTATAGTAGATATGGGCTGGCCTGTAGTGAGCGCTACCTCCTGGCTGCCATGGGTTATGACTGCTATGAGGCAATCTCCAAGCCCCTGCTTTAATCCCAAGCCACGTCTACAGAGTTATGTGCCAGTCTTGTTGCAGCTTCTTGTTGCGACATCTACTGTATGAATTAGCTGTTTGTCTTGGTGTGCTCCCCTCGCTGCCCTACCCCGACAGGCCCCAGTGTGTGTTGTTCCCCTCCCTGTGTCCATGGATTCTCATTGTTCAGCTCCCACTTATAAGTGAGAACATGTGGTGTTTGGTTTTCTGTCCCTGCATTAGTTTGCTGAAGATAATGGCTTCCAGCTTCATCCGTGTCCCTGCAAAGGACATGATCTCATTCCTTTTTATGGCTGCATAGTATTCCCTGGTGTATATGTATACCTAGGTGATGGGTTGATAGGTGCAGCAAACAGCCATGGCACATGTTTACCTATATAACAAACCTGCACATCCTGCACATGTAGACCAGAATTTAAAATTAAAAAACAAAAATGAAAAGAAAAAAAAAAGAGTATCTACCATAAAGTTCTCCTAGAAACAAGTTTGTTTTTTTCGTTTCTGGCTCTCATTTTTTAGCTTGCATGATGCAAAGATGACAGATTTCCTTAGCAATAGACAAAATAGAGAATGAATATCAATACTTAGAACCACCATGCACTTTCAATAAAAGAGTATTTTCCTTAACAATGAAAGAATTAAGGACAGTAGTGCAGCAGTTGTATGAGACAGGCAGAAAGGGAGATGTAGGTAGGACATAGAAACAGATCGAGAAGTAGGACCAGAGAGAGATTTCAGAAAACTTTATATCCGAGGGAAGATTTAGAATGAAAATCTTTACCAGGAAAACAATGACTGATAACAATCAAGTATATATGAATTTTTGTATGTTTTTTTTAATGTTATGTTATAAATTAATTAAAAATTAGAGACAATTTCACCATGACATATCAAATTTCCTGGTTATAGTAGTCTTTTTACAAATAAAACATGAGGTTTTACCAAAATAGTGTTGGTAATTGAGTGTATCAGTTTGCAAGTGTTGCTATAACAAAATAGTGCAGCCTGGATGGCTTACAAAACAGAAATTTACTCTCCCACAGTTCTGAGGGCTAAAAGCCCAAGTTGAAGGTGCTGGCAGGATTGGTTTCTTGTGTATGTTCAACTTTCCTTTTTATAAAGACACCAGTCAGATTGGATTGAGCCTACTTTAACTGCCTCATTTTAACTTCATCACTTGTTTAAAGATCTCATCTTCAAATATAGTCAGATTCTAAGGTACAGTAAGTTAGGGCTTCAACAAATGGATTTCCAAAAGACACAATTCAGACCATTGTGCATGTGTGGGATAGGTAGTAGATTGCCGGTGGAGGAGACAAGAGCGAGTAGCCTGGACAGAGAAAAGAGCGTGTGACATGGAAAAAAAATATAGACCACATGATACTTTTTAGAAAAGTCTAATTAGTACAATTTGGAAAAATTCAATTATAAGACAGACCCAACATAACAGGATTATATTATGAGTTAGATCCATTAAGAGAGTCAACTTTTAATGAAATATTCCTCATTTCATCATTTTCTAATTTATTTAACATCCCCAAACTCCAGATGAACTCTAATTGAGTCTTTGGAGACAGAGGTACGTATTTCTGTGCTGGTGTGAGGGAGGTGTCTCAAAGGGCTGTTGAGGACATACATATATTGAGTGCAACAAAGGCACATTAAACACCAGAAGAGAGGGAAAAGTGTGACTTCCAAGAGCTGGCCTTCCAAACCAAGGGTAAGCACCTGGGATCAGGGGCAAATAGGAAGTCTGGCCTTTCTCTGACCTCAGCTGCAAATCAGAAGGGGGATACAGAATCTGGCACGGCTGTCAAACGATTTACTGCTGCACCACACATGCACACAGGTGCACGTGCAGACTCCCTAGTAAATCAAATTCCATTCAGTGATACATCCTGCTCTCACGTAGAATTTGAAACTCAGTCTTGTATCTATGCTGGGCCATCATATATTCACTCACACAGTGAAAAAATCAAGAGGACAAAAAAATGTGACTTGCTTTTTTGACCCCAGTGATTGTGCTACTCTAAACTACTAGTGTATGGCATTTTCACTTCTTGGTATTAATTTTGAGATGCCAGGAAGGCACATTCCTACCAAAGAGTTTTTCTTGCTCTAGTGAAGGGATCAGAGATCTGGGCTGCTGCAGGGGAAGATGCATCTTGATAGGCCATTTCTATAGAAGATTCTTTAGCATGATTGGCTCAGACATTTTCTGTGCCTTTTATTTCACATTCACAGATACTTGGTAACTTGTTTCAAATTAGGTCTCGGAAGTGAGACTTCTCTTTTATTTACTCTTCTTTCTTATTTTGATACAGTACACTGTGCTGGGAAAGTCCACTTGAGGATAGATCTTGTTCTGAATATTTTGAACCAGGTTAGAAATAGACTGTACTGGCTGGGCACGGTGGCCCAAGCCTGTAATCCCAGCACTTTGGGAGGCTGAGGAGGGCGGATCACGAGGTGAGGAGTTCAAGACCAGCCTGGCCAACATAGTGAAGCCCTGTCTTTACTAAAAATACAAAACATTAGCCAGGCATGGTGGTGGGTGTCTGTAATCCCAGCTACTTGGGAGGCTGAGGCAGGAGAATCACTTGAACCTGGGAGGCAGAGGTTGCTGTGAGTGGAGATTGTGCCACTGCAGTCCAGCCTGGGTGACAGTGTGAGACTCCGTCTCAAAGAAAAAAAAAAAGAAATAGAAAGTACTTTGCTAAACCAGCTTCAAGATATGAAGGTAATTAACCAATTACTCACTCTAGAAATATTTACTGAGTGCTAATTCATGACTAGGAACTGTTCTTTGTGCTGGAATACAGCAATAAACAAGACAGAGAAATATTTTGCTGTATAGATGTTGCATTCTGGTGAGAAGAAGCAGGCAATAGATTTAATAAACAGGAGTTAGAGGATGACAATAGATGAGGGGGATAACACAGTAGAATTGGAGTAGAGTAATAAGGGTGAAGATTGTCGGAAGGAAAGGGGCATGGAATTTAAAAGGGGCATGGAATTTAAAATGTCACATTCACCTTTGTCAGAATGTGACGTTTGAAAGGAACTTAAAGAAGATGAAGGAGTGAGCCATGAAAACATCTGGAGTATAGTGTTCCAGGCAGAGGGAACAGACAGTCATGCACCCTAGAACTTAAAGTATAATAATAATAATAATAATAATAATAATAATAAATCTTTGATGCTGGGACAGAGACGGCACATTTGAGAAAAAGTGAGAAAGCCATTGAGGCTAGGGCAGAAGGAAGGAGGAGGTCAGTGTGGTGAGTGTTAGGAGATAAGGTTCTTTAGGTAAGGGAGAGACAGATTACGGGTTTTAACTTGGAATAAATTGGGAGCCTTTACAGGGTTTTAAATACAGAAGCAACTTATTTATTTGTTTAATGGCCTACACTGGCTGTTGTATTGAAAATATACCATAGGGAACAAGGGTGTAGATGAGTTAGAAAGTGATGGCAATATTCTTGGCAGTAGATCATAGTGGTTTGAACAGAGTGGTAGCAGTGGAGGTGGGGAGAAGTGGTCAGATTCAGGATACATTTTGAAGGTAGGAAAATTGCAATTTTCTGAAATTTGGAAAAGTAGATAGGAAAGAAACAGGGTAGACTGATTCCAAATTTTTGACTTCAGATCCTGGAAGAGTAAAATCTTATTAACCAATATGGGGAATGAAAAAATCAATTTTTGGAACTGCAGATTAGGAATTCAACTTTAAACATGATTAGTTTTAATTACCTATTACTCCTCTCTTATTACAGCATATTAGCACCCGACCAAACTTAGTCATCTTCCATTAGTAGAATTTTTAAATCTGAAATAATAACCGGCAAACTAATAGATTTTTGGGAGTTTGTGAACCCATTAAAATTTTGCGTGTTTTTACATATGTACATATTCATATTTGAGAATTATCATTGCTGAGTTTATCAAGTTCTCAAAGAGCTTCATGAGTCAAAAAATTTGAGCCATTAATTATTTGCAGATAAAGAAATTAAGAAATGCAGTGTTTAGAAAATATGCACAACTTCATAGGATTGTATTTTTTTTTTTTTTTTTTTTTTTTTTGAGACGGAGTCTCGCTCTGTCGCCCAGGCTGGAGTGCAGTGGCGGGATCTCGGCTCACTGCAAGCTCCGCCTCCCGGGTTCACGCCATTCTCCTGCCTCAGCCTCCCAAGTAGCTGGGACTACAGGCGCCCGCCACTACGCCCGGCTAATTTTTTGTATTTTTAGTAGAGACGGGGTTTCACCGTTTTAGCCGGGATGGTCTCGATCTCCTGACCTTGTGATCCGCCCGCCTCGGCCTCCCAAAGTGCTGGGATTACAGGCGTGAGCCACCGCGCCCGGCCCATAGGATTGTATTTTAAGGACACAAGAATGTGTATGCAAATCTTGAGATGAAAAGAAGGGTGCAGTTGTCTTCAGCAAATTTTATTTCTCACTTCAACCAAGACAGTGGTAATGTCCTGTGTATCCCAAGATACGTGTGTATGTAAGGACTGTTAATCTGCTCTGCCACACTGTATTGCAACAAGTGAGGCTATCTATTGTTTCATGAAAGTTTTTCCTTCTTTTTTTTTTTTTGTTTTGAGACAGCGTATCTCTCTGTCACCCTTGCTGGAGTGCAATGGTGCAATCTCAGCTCACTGCAACCTCTGCCTCCTGGGTTCAAGCGATTCTCCTGCCTCAGCCTCCCAAGTAGCTGGGATTACAGCCGTGTACCACCACGCCTGGCTGATTTTTAGTAGAGACAGGATTTTGCTATGTTGGTCAGGCTGGTTCTGAACTCCTGGCCTTGAGTGATCCTCCTGCCTCAGCCTCCTAAAGTGCTGGGATTACAGGTGTGAGCCACCGCACCTGGCACGTAACAATTTCTATAAGAGATTTTAGCAAATTGGAATCATGGAAGTTTGGTGCTGAGAATAGGATCAACCAAAATTTTCAGATGGGTGAATTGTGTTCCTGAGATGAGGTATTACTTTCCTAAATCATACAGTGATTAGTGTCAGGGATATGTACCAAATATTGGACCCCACAATCCTAAACCCTATAACTCCTTTGCCAAGTTACATGGAAATAGTTGACAAAAATATTAAATTCTAGGATTTTAGCAAGATACTGGACGATACCACTATTCTGGCTGAAATTGCTTATTTGTATAAACTTAGTCTATTTATTTATGTTTTGCAAGCTCAGAATTTATAATTAAGTTAGATAATTATCCTCCCATTCAGAATAATGATAGTTAAAATTTTGTAGATTGATGTTCTGTCCAGAAAATGGGCTGTTTTCTTAACATGGATGTTTTCTCGCCCTTTTGGAGGTAAATACACGTAGGTGGGGAATTGTTAAGATACTTTTCCAAGATTATGGAACTACCAAGTAAGAAGGTCTGGGTTTGAACTCAGATGCCATATCACTTGGGCAATTCTGCCTATGCCAGACCTGTCTTTTCTCACCTGGGCGTGCTCATGTCTGTGGGTAGCTCTTAGCGCCACTGTAGGCTGGATCATATAGAAGGGCCCCACCTGCATGTTTGGGGGACAACTTGCAGTCAGCTGGGGTGACAGAGTGAGCGCAGCCAGATGTCTTATCCAGCAAACTAACCCAGGCTTATTTACATGGTGGTGGTAGGATTTTAAAAGTGAGAAGAGAAACATAAAAAGCTTCTTGAAATCCAGGCTTTGAATCCACATGGAGCTGCCTATCTTTCAATCTATTGGCCAAAGCAAACCACCAAGCCATCCAAGACTCAAGGGGTTAGGTATAAGACTTAGAATAGTAACTGGTACATGGTCATAATGTATTTATATTTGTAATATAAATAGCAACTTTAATAATCTAATACTTAACAATACAAATACTTGACACGTAAGAAGTTTTCAATAACTTATAGAAAGATAGTGAAATTTTTTGAGTGCCCACTAATGTACCCAATATTGGGCTGTGTTATTTTTATGTATGTTTTATTTATTCAATCAGACAGTCTGTCAAGAAGTTACTAGTCGGCCAGGTGCGATGGCTCACGCCTGTAATCCCAGCACTTTGGGAGGCTGAGGCGGGTGGATCACCTAAGGTCAGGAGTTTGAGACGAGCATGGCCAACATGGTAAAACACCATTTTTAGTAGAGTTGGTGTGGTGGTAGGTGCCCGTAATCCCAGCTACTCAGGAGGCTGAGGCAGGAGAATTGCTTGAACCTAGGAGGCAGAAGTTGCAGTGAATGGAGATCACGCCACTGTATTCCAGCATGGGTGACAGAGTGAGATTCCATCTCAAAAAAAAAAGAAGAAGTAATTAGTTATCCTTGTGAGTTTCATTTTTTTTTCATGTTTGATGAGAATATGGGTCTTGTCCTGCATTAAATAGTTAATAAATAAAATTCCTAATTTTCAAATTATTTTTGACTCCAATTCCAGTAATTTTTCCAAATCATGGACTGAAGTCCTATAATTCTAGATAGTAAGGGAGAAAAATCTACAAGCTTCTTAGTAATTGTTGATTTAATTGATACCCTTGTCAACTTGTGTGAATAGAAAAAACACTAAGTGATGATTTTCCCTTCTCATGATAGTCAGGCTTTCACCTCCGTGGACATGGAAGTGGGAAATTGCACCATCCTGACTGAATTCATCTTGTTGGGTTTCTCAGCAGATTCCCAGTGGCAGCCGATTCTATTTGGAGTGTTTCTGATGCTCTATTTGATAACCTTGTCAGGAAACATGACCTTGGTTATCTTAATCCGAACTGATTCCCACTTGCATACACCTATGTACTTTTTCATTGGCAATCTGTCTTTTTTGGATTTCTGGTATACCTCTGTGTATACCCCCAAAATCCTGGCCAGTTGTGTCTCAGAAGATAAGCGCATTTCCTTGGCTGGATGTGGGGCTCAGCTGTTTTTTTCCTGTGTTGTAGCCTACACTGAATGCTATCTCCTGGCAGCCATGGCATATGACCGCCATGCAGCAATTTGTAACCCATTGCTTTATTCAGGTACCATGTCCACCGCCCTCTGTACTGGGCTTGTTGCTGGCTCCTACATAGGAGGATTTTTGAATGCCATAGCCCATACTGCCAATACATTCCGCCTGCATTTTTGTGGTAAAAATATCATTGACCACTTTTTCTGTGATGCACCACCATTGGTAAAAATGTCCTGTACAAACACCAGGGTCTACGAAAAAGTCCTGCTTGGTGTGGTGGGCTTCACAGTACTCTCCAGCATTCTTGCTATCCTGATTTCCTATGTCAACATCCTCCTGGCTATCCTGAGAATCCACTCAGCTTCAGGAAGACACAAGGCATTCTCCACCTGTGCTTCCCACCTCATCTCAGTCATGCTCTTCTATGGATCATTGTTGTTTATGTATTCAAGGCCTAGTTCCACCTACTCCCTAGAGAGGGACAAAGTAGCTGCTCTGTTCTACACCGTGATCAACCCACTGCTCAACCCTCTCATCTATAGCCTGAGAAACAAAGATATCAAAGAGGCCTTCAGGAAAGCAACACAGACTATACAACCACAAACATGAAGGTTATTCTCTTTGCAAATGCTGTTATTGAATTTTCCAGATTATTGGCTTATAAATGTGTTCATTTGCATTTCTGTAGTTCAATTAAGTTCAATAAGTCATATTTAAAACATTAAAATATTGACCACATGACTCCTTGTTATTCGTTTGTTATGATGTAAACAAAACAAAGTAATATTTAAAACTTATAATATTGGGTTGTTTGGCATTCTGCAATATGGTATTTTGCCTTGGCAGCATTAAATCTTTCATAGATTTCATTGTGTTTGCTCCCTTTGGGAGATCTTGGGGAACAAAATAAATTACGTGGGTTAATGAATATAGTTTGACTTTGAAGTTTGGTAAGCAATCTTTACTAGGTGACAAGAATATCTGAAAGGGTGAGGCTTCTGGAAATATGCTCAAGATTTTACAAATATTTATTTTAAGAAAATCATTTCCTCAAAATTTCTTCAGAAAGCTCTAATTGAGCATATAGGGAGTATCTTTGTAAAACTCATGCCTTCTACATAAAGAGAATATTAGGAAGATGTTTAAGAGTTGTTCAGATTACAAACAACAATGACAACAAAAAACTATCTCAAAATTAATGAATAAATATGTGTCTTTAGAATTGCATATCATCCTAACAGTCTTCTCTCTTACAAGGAGTGAGTACTCCGCAGTACTCTCTCTCAGGTCACACAGCGATGTGACAACATCAAACGAAATAAAACAAATGAACAACAATAGTAACCACTGTTCCCTAGTTACCTTTCTCTTTCCTTTGTCCTGACCAAAAGACATAAGCTGCATGTTTGTCCCTGGCCTGAACCTAGCCTGGGCCTTGAACATTCCTAAGAACTGGTAAACTTGTTTAGATCGATGCCTGAAACCCTGAAAAATCAAACATGTTGCTAACCACATGGAAACTAGCCTTGGCCTCGAGCCCAATTCCCTAAACCCTGATATAAACTCCATAACTGAACCCCCTTGTGATGGCAGGTTGGGTTGATATTTCATTTAGTAGCCTTTAGAAGATGGCAAGTTAAGGATTAATGGTTACAATTTTCAAATCACAAGCTTGCAGCTCAGAGGTTAGCAACTTTGTTGAGGAAAGGTTATAACATTTGCTGGAATTAGCACATTTAAAAAATTAATTAAATTTTGAAAATTTAGGACAAATAGTTGTAGCCATTTCATTTGTCTTTACTTGACATTTCTCAACTTTCTCTTCAGCTGCATTTATTTTCCAACACATCCTACCTCTTTCCATCAAAATAATCTTAACATTCTTATTCCTCTATCACAAAGGAAGCTGTTTGAGTACTTGACTAGAAGGATTTGGGGTGTATCCCGCAAATATCAATGATCCATATTATGTTTTCTTTTCATCTCCATAATAGTCACTATGTAGGAAAAATAATTGGGTCAATATTATGGGAAAGAACATCGTAAAAATTTAATTTCACTTTAGGATATCAGAATAATTACTTTTCCATTTTGCATTAATCGGAGATACTGAATTTTAAAAACTGTATCAGTATTCAATTGAATCTACAATACTGTAGTATATATTATAGTCTGATCTCAAAATCATAACAAACAAACGAAACACAAAGAAACACAATTTTTCTTGTTGAATTTTGTTCAATGGTAAAAAAGAAATAAAAATCCAGTTCTGTAACCTCTCTGAGCAGTTTGTCATCACTTAGCATTGATTTGAGAACATTATGGCAATTCAGACTTTGGATTATGCTGACTTGAAGAATTTTTTCAGAGCGTCTTTCATGTCTTTATTCCTCAGACTGTAGATCATGGGATTCAACATGGGGAACAGCATAGTATAAAAGGTAGAAACCATTTTGTCCCTCTTGAGGGAGTAGCTGGAACTTGGCCGGGAGTAGTTGTAGAGAATGGAGCCATAGTATAAGGTAACGGAGATCAGGTGGGAGGAGCATGTGGAGAAGACTTTGATGCGGCCCTGGGTAGAGTGGATCCTCAGGATGGTGGTGATGATGGAGAGGTAAGAGGCAAGGATGAGCACAGTAGGGGAGATGACATTGGAGGCCAGAAGGAAGTGCAGCACAGCCTGGTAGCTCTCACACTGCATGCCAGCTTCACGAGGGGTGGGACATCACAGAAAAAGTCATCAATGACATTGTCACCACAAAAATCCAATGTGAATGTGTTGCTGGTTAATATTATTGCATTGACAAAACCCCCAGTATAGGAATATAAAACCAAACAGATGCACAATCTCCTTGGCATGGTCTGAGCATAAAGCAGGGGCTTGGAGATGGCCACGTAGTGGTCATAAGCCATGGCAGCCAGTAGGTAGCACTCACTATAGGCCAGCCTGGCAGAGAAGAACTGACACAGGCAGCCAGCAAAGGAGATGCTTTTGTCTTCAGAGATGCAGGTCACTAGGATCTTTGGGGTGTAGACAGAAGAATACCAGAGATCCAGAAATGACAGATTTCCAATGACAAAATACATGGGTGTGTGTAGGTGGGAGTCATTACAGATCAACACGATGAGGGTGCTACTTCCTACCACAGTCAGACAGTACACACCCAGGAACACCACAAAGAGGCCCAGTTGCATCCCTGGATCTGTGGTGAAGCCCAGCAGGATGAACTCAGTCACTGTGTGATTGCTCCTCTGCATGGCTTATGGATACCACGCCTACAAATAGAGTAGAAAAGAGTTTAATTGCCTCAACCGATACCAAATGATGGCATTTTCTATGCTAAGCACCTGACATATAATCAACACTAAGCATAAATTTTGGCTGCCTTGGGCAGGTGATGGGAGTTTTCTGAGCTTCAATATATTTATTGCAATAAAATGCATTTGATAACAGAAAAGCCTTAATTGAAATGTTTATTAATTTTTTCTTGAAAAACAAAATATTTATTGAGCCCTGTGTGCTATTCCAGACAGTGGGATATAGCGGTGAAGATGATAGGGCTGACTCCTATCCTACTGAGCTTTTATTCTAGAAGGGAGAGTTACATAAAAAAACAAATAGGTACAGTGTCAATTAATGTTAAATGCTAATAACAAAATAAAACTAGATGATGGGATAAAAACAAACTAGGAAAGAGCTCAACTAATGTAGACACTGAGAGAAAAAAAAAATCCTTTTCCTGTTCCCAGCTATGGATGGACAAATTATTCAGAGCCTATGAAAACTGGGAAGGACCCTATGGTTTAGAAGGTGGTAACACTGTATTTTTCCACAACCACAGAAAAAATTATCTGCTTAGTTACTCTGTAGGAGTCTTTGGTACATTTATCATAAATTCCAGGGAAGGAATCAGGTTGAGAATTAGTGCGAAGCTCAGGTAAAGACCAATGAATTTATCTGTTTCTGCCAAGTAAAAAATGTGTGATGTTTTTATGGGTATTTGGGGTATAAAATGTTGAGACTCAGCATTATCTCTCAGCCTCTATAACTAGCCATGAACATAGTACTTAAAAGGACAGTTAGCCCAAGTCGATATTGTCTATAGCAATAGTTCTGAATGCTATCACATTGGAAAAATCTTCTTGTCAAACAAACATTTAGAAATGCTTCCTTTAGATTCTTGAAATAATATGTGTAGTTAATGTAACCTAAGTATAAACATGTATATATGTGTATGTAAACTATCCTAAGTCTAATGTAAAAGAGATATGAAAGAAAAATAATTCATAATACAATTATTATATGAAATAATTATAATATAGGATTTATTATAAAATAATTTGAATATTCAATATATAAATGCTGGATCACTTGGTGGGACATAGATAGTAAAATCAACACACGTAGAATCATCATTAATGTGTTGGTGACTCAAATATCAGGAGTCACATTGACATTGGTGATGTTTTCCTGACAAGTTGGTCAAGTCTTGATGAAGTTTCAAACAAAATAAATGACAATCTTTCCTTGGTTTTATTAAATTGTTATATAGGAGAACCTTGCAAAATATGTTTTCTTTGTCTGTAGAGCAGAGTAGATTTCAAACTGATGTAATTATAACAATATTTTCTAATGCACAAATACGCATTGGGAGTCTGGATGTAGTGAGTGCAACATTTTTCTTTGCATAAGGCTGTCCCTATGGATGCAGGATGTGTTCATACTTGTCTACTAAATACTAAATATCCAGTAGTCCTCTTATCTTTGTGATAATAATAAATCCAACCACACACTTAAGAAATGCCCTTCAATGATAGACTGGATAAAGCAAATGTGACACATATACACCATGGAATACTATGTATCCATAAAAAAGAATGAGCTCATGTTCTTTGCAGGGACATGGATGAAGCTGGAAGCCATCATTGTTGGTAGACTAACACAGGAAGAGAAAATCAAACACCACATGTTCTCACTCATAAGTGGGAGTTGAACAACGAGAACACATGGACACAGAAAGGGGAACATCACACACTGGGGCCTGTTGGGGGTTGGAGGGCAAGGGGAGGGAGAGCATTAGGACAAATACCTAATGCATGTGGGGCTTAAAACCTAGATGACGGGTTGATAGGTGCAGCAAACCACCACGGCACATGTATTCCTAGGTAAGACAAACCTGCACGTTCTGCACATGTATCCCAGAACTTAAAGTAAAATAAAGAAAAAAAAAGAAAGGAAAAGAAAACCCAGCAGCTATAAGCACACACAAAACACAAGTTTTGGTAACTAAATACCATTTTTCCACTGGAAGGACCCAGAACTCCTTGAAACTCCCAAGTTTTGGTCAAGGATTGCATAAGATGAGTCTGGGACATCTTGTGGCAGAAACTAAGAAAATATTCAAAAATTATAGGGACATGTTTAAATGACCCAGAAGCTAGCTTGAAGAAGTTTCCACTGGGTGCATTTTAGACAATTTCATATTAAAAGTATAATGACCATAATTGAATAAAACATATTGAATATAAAATAAAGAAAGAACCACTCTTTAAAGGATGTTTTCATTTATTGAGACTCCACTACTTCAAAACTTTGCATTTTACTTTATGCATCTTCATAGGCTTTTCCAGGAATTGTGTAAAGAAATGCAAAATAACTGGAAAATGTTGCTAAATGGTCAAATTACCTGTGGCAGTACGTACAGCTCTCTATTTACTTTTTTTTACTGGGTCACTGGGGTAAAGCGGAGATAGAAGCCCATAGTGTAGAGCAAGGATTTTTGTTTCTGTTGCATGTTACATATCTCCACTTCTTAGAATAGTACCTGGCACATAATAGATGTACAATAAATATTTATGGAATAAACAAATGGGTAACCCCGACTCAGAAGACAAACAAGTCAAGAGAATTGATATTCTGGGTGTCCTCTAATGATGTCATTATACCCTAAAACCACTACAGAATTGTTTGGTATTCCACATTCATTTCCCAGCACCAGCAATCCCAGGTCATTTGTGTATTTTGCAGACAGATGCAGGGACAAACAAAGAAATCAGTCCACAATATAGTCAGCCTAAACAAATATTTGTTTTCCCAAAAGGAGTGTCTGTGAAGAAATTGTTTTTCATCTGAGCAACAGATTGCCTGTCATTATATGTCATGACGTTTAGGAAGCATGCCTAAGAAATCAGAGCTGACTGCTCACACTAGAGACAGATGGGATATCCTTGAAAAAGCATTTGTCTTTCAACAACTAAGAAGGATTCAAGTTCTCCATCACTAGTCAACAATGTAAAGCCTCAATTTCTTCATATGTAACATAGGGATAATTCATCTCTTTTTAGGGTTGTTTAAAGGAGTTTACTCAAGTAAGGACTACATACAGTGCCTAGCATGTTATAAACACTCAAGTAACAAATTGTTCTCAAATTCTTTGCACCTAAGAGCGCCCCAGTGTTTCTAACTTAGGAGGTTGCAGGTCAGCCCCCAGGAATCTGCTTTCATTAAAGCAGCCCAAGCGCTTGTAATGTGGGTTGTTTGTAGATTATGTTGAGAAATACTAAAATGAATATCGGTTGCATTTATAAAAGTTTCCGGAATCAAAATGAAGTCACTAGTGTTAAATAAAAACAAGTGACAAATATGGCTGGGCATGGTGGTTCATGCCTTTAATCCCAGAACTTTGGGAGGCTGAGGCAGGAGGGTCTCTGCAGCCCAGGAGTTCATAAACAGTGTGGGCAACACGGTGGGACCATGTCTCTATAATTAATAAATACATACATACATAAAAAATAATTTAAAAAGAGCCAGCGGAGGGAATTAAGAGAGGTTTCTCATGCTTGTATTCCTGATAAAACTATCATAAAAGACTGCAAAAACTACACCTTGCACAAAGGTCATCACAACTTTACAGAAAAAGAGTACTTCTGCAAGGACACCTGCCCAGAAACTGCCTGTCCAGCCAAGCATCGACCGTGCCATGGACCGCCTGCTACTCCTGGGTGCTGGAGAATCTGGTAAAGGCACCAATGTGAAGCAGATGAGGATCCTACATGTTAATGGGTTTAATGGAGAGGACACTGAAGAGGACCTGCAGGCTGCAAGGAGCAACAGAGATGGAATATATTACCCCTGGATGATGGCTACAGTTTCTCATCTTCCTGGCTATGTCCTCTCACAATTCGCATGCTGGAATTGCTAGGTCTTAGGAACTCCTAGTAAGAATACTATTCTGTTGTCTGGAAGGGAGCGGGGATGGGGCTCCTACTTCCTGACCTTGAATTATGATTGAAAAAAATAATAAAAAATGGACTGAAATCCTTAATTGGTAAAAATGTAGTATGACAATTATCCAAAAAATCATCTATATAAGAAATGACTAATTGACAAGCTAAGGTACCAAAAGTTGGCATTTGAGCAAAATATGACAAGTCCTTAGTGAGCAACCTACTGTGTACTAAATGTTGTGCGAAACCCTTGAACCCCACTAATACCTTGCCTGCATATCTCTCTGTGACTCTGTTCTGCAAGTAAATATAAGTATTAACATTTGTGATAAATAAAAATTCTCTGCATGTTTCAGCAAAACCAACAAACAACAAAACAACAACAACAACAACAAAAAACAGGTATCACCCTTGTCATCAATCTATGTAGCCAAAGATTATTATTTCAAAATAATCACATAATTCTCATTTTTAAAAAAATCTTTGTCTTCCATTACCTCCCCGAATATGCATACGGTTTACTGTGGCATTTGTATTCCCACAGCAACACTCTATTCTCAGATAAACCTATTTTTCTTTTAGATAGCCTCTCTGTGTTTGTTATTTAGGTTGACATATATGGTGTCACAAATAGAACCCGAAAAAGATAATGATCCAAAGAAACTGGTGATTCTTGAACTGATGTGCAGTGCTCACTTGAGGCCCTTGTGCTTTCCTCCACTTCCTTGGCTCACTTTTCTGCCCTGATGAGTCTTCTCTTAGGCTGAGCCTGCCTCTTTTAGTAGAGGCTTTTTTATATTAGTCAGGATCTTTTTTTTTTTTATAAAGTCACCTAATAAGGGACTATGCATCCCTCCTGGGGTGATAAAATACTTTTTGTCTTTTGTGGTATATCTTTTCTGGTGTAAAGACATGTGTCTTTCTGGATTGAGTACTCTGGTTCTACAGAATTTACATTCTATCTAGAAGGCATGTCTTTTGCGGTGAATTCACTTTTGGTCTCTGTGCTTAGTTGAATATTTTGTTTGATCTCTACGCCGAGGTTGAAATTTTTATGAATGCTCTTATCTTGGTTTCTTTTGATTTGGTTTGATTCTTTTCCCTTGCTTTTTAAAAAATTATTCTGAAAGCAAAAATATATTCCAAATGTTGGGTGCAGAAAGGTTAATTAAAAGCCATTAGTGCAATTGCTACCATCTAAAACACTGCTCTAAACTCCTGACATTTCCTGATAGGAATGATAATATTTTCTTTGCTCTCAAGAGATGAGTAAGAAACAGAATGGGTTTTTTAAACATAAAGGCATGACAGGTTTTTGGGACTCCAGCTAGCCACATTTTATGGCTCATGCTTATGCACATTTTAAAATTGACAAGCAATGTTACATCAAGAAAAATTCAGAGCTCAAATGTTCATTATTTAAACTCTTTTAGAGATCTGCAACTACCATGCTAAGCATGTAGAGACTTCTAAGTTCACTGTCTCTCTTTCTTGTTTTTTCTTACTGCCTACTTTGAATCTGCTGACTTTTCTACTGGGGTTGACATAAAACTCACCGCTTGTGGCATTCTAGTCAAGACTTTTTTAAAAGTATTAAAGGGCTTTTAAATTAATAGCTTCACAAATTACAAGAGCTCCATGGTAACCAACAACCTAGACACCATTAGAAAATGTAAATTTAGGTTTACCTGACTAAAATTTGTTTATGGTGATGAAATAATTTATTGAAAAATTAATAATCTATAAAAAGAGCTAGATAAATATGTATAAATGTTAGGCTCTCAGGTCTAACAGGTCAAAATCTTGAACTCTAAACAATATAAATCATCTTTGTCTGGCATAAAAAATTTGCTTTTTCTGCCACACAAAGACTAACCCCCCAGCCCCTGCGAAAAAAACAACAAATCCTGCTAAAATTCTTTCTTGTCTCCATTTGTTAATCAAGCAAAACAGACCTGCAAAAAAAATTAAAATAAAATAAAAAAAGATAGATTTGTTACTAGTTCAACACTGGAGATTTTGTTTTTATAATACAATTCAACCAGTCCTAGCTACAATGTAAACAATTGAAAATTTAACTCTAAACTCATTTGAGACTGAATAAATAAAATATAAATGTTAAAGAGGCTAAGAAAAACAAACAAACCAACAAACAACAATAAAACCCAAGCTACTATATAAATTGCTTCACCCAAATTTTGGTCTGCAGCCTTCATTAGATTACATATTGAGGAAAGTTATCACATCTTTGTGTGTGCATATATGTGTTTAGGTGCGTATATGTGTATGAACATGTATTATGTGGCACGTTGTTTCTACATGGTAAAATCTGGCATAGTTGGCAAAAAATTTCTTATTTTTATTTTTATTTTTTGAGATGGAGTCTTACTCTGTCACCCAGACTGGACTGCAGTGGCACTATCTCAGCTCACTGCAACCTCTGCCTCCTGGGTTTAAGCGATTCTCCTGTCTCAGCCTCCTGAGTAACCCTCCTGGGATTACAGGCACGTGCCGCCACCACTCCTGGTTAATTTTTGTATTTTTAGTAGAGATGGGGGTTCACCATGCCAATTGGTCAGGCTGGGTCTTGAACTCCTGACCTCGTGATCTGCCTTCCTTGGCCTCCCAAAGTTCTAGGATTACAGGTGTGAGCCACTGTGCCCTGCGGCAAAAAATTTCTTAAGGAATTCTATTCACATATCTTAGATAAATGAGCACTCATAAAAAATGTATAATAACCCAAATGCTTTTTAGTTCATGTGACTTAAGTACGTCTTTAATAAATAAGCTGGTTTTAAAATTATCAGGAAATTGTCAACATATGTTTTTGCCCAGGTGTACTGGTAGAATTTTATATTTGTCTTTGCTAGATGTTTTAGGGTGTTGGGGTTTGACCCAAAGGTTATAAAACTATAAACTCAGCCTAAAACAGAATAATCTTTGTCAACTCTTTGATAATTAAGGCTAGTTTAATAATGTTTGTTTAGTAAAAATAGCTATATCTTCTAAGTTATAAGCAAAATATTCATATAATTTAAGATTTCTACTTAGGTGCATGCCTGATATTCATAAGTTATACAAATAGGAAAATAACTAGAAATGATGATTAGCTTTATTTCATATCTCAATTTTCATAACTAATCTATGTAAACTGTAAAAAATTGAATAAATTAGATAATAGAAATGAGGTAAATGTCTGTAAATATAGTTTTCATGTAATTTGAAATCTTAAAGTTATATTATATTGATTTAAATGATATTCATTAAATGTCTGAGTCATTTCCAAATAATATCATAAAACAAAATTCTGACCATAAATATAAGTTTCTTTTCTTGGATTCTAAAATAATATAGAAAGACTAAATAGATTTGGTTCCATGAATATACGTAAAATTCTGTTATAGAAAAACATGTTTTTAAAAATTATAAAGATTTTCATATATAAAATACTGATATGACAGATAATTCAAGATTTCTGGCTTCCTAGGTTTTCACTAAATTTAAGGTTATTAAATTAAAAATACTAATTAATACCTCTAGAACTATAATATAAATTCTCTCAAAAAAGTAAGACGTGTTTTAATAAAAAATTATAAGAAAGGCATAAAAGCATATTCTTTATCAAGAAAAAAAGAATAATTTTGCATAATTTAGAGTTACTTAAAGGTTTTTTTTGCAAAATATAAATTTAACAAGTATAAAACAATAGGCTACAATGTGATGGAAAAGTACCAGTAAGTAGGAGAGAGACAGAGATAGGAAAAAAGTTATGGGTATGAAAATATATTTTTGCAAAACAAGTTGAAAAGAAGATAATTTTGTATGAGAAAAAATATTTTGTGGTAACTTTTTGTTCTAAAGTAAAATGACTGGTTATTTAAGAAAGATTAAGTATAAGACATAACAGAAAGTTTAAGCATGCTGTAAATGGTCTGAGTAGGTATGGTGTTTGTGAAAGGGGGAATTTATAAAAGAAATTTTGTATGTGATCAAGTTGGCTATAATTTAAAAAAAATTATGACTGTCTATAAAATGAGACTTAACATTGAAAATATACTAACATTAAACTAAAAAATTTGGTCCCCTATATTAGAAAAAGATTTTCTTAATATATTGATTTGCTCTTAGTAAGACTGCAAAAATTTTTGATTTTTAATTCTGAAACATGTTTTTCTTAATGGTGATATTCTAAACTACAGACAATTTCTATTTCTGCCATATTTCTTCCTGAGATCTATTTAATTTCTCTAGTTTTAGTTTTGAAATGCTGTCTTTTTCATCCAGAATTGTACTTTTATTTTTGGAGGTAAATTTTTTCTGGAAACATTTCAGATTTATGTCTCAGAAGTTTAACTTTTGCTGTATCTTGCTGCATATAATTGGCAGGTCCTGAATCATTGTCTTCAGCTCTCTTTCTTCCCTTAAAAATGTGTGGGTTTGTTGTTGTTGTTGTTGTTGTTTGTTTTTTTGCTTGGCTGGAGTGATAGCTCTTTCTTTCAACCTTTTCATCAACTCTTTTTCTTCCTGGTTCTAACACTGTTATAGCCTGATGCTGAAATACTTATCTTAAAGGCCTAGAAAACCAATGTTTTCCCTCAGTATAATTTGATTTTATACTTTAGGTTTTTCTTGCTGTGTGTGAATTGTGACCAGGAAACTTTCCACGTTGTTACTAAGAGCCAGGTATTCCTCTGTTCAAGATATTAGTTTTCTTGTTTACATTCCTCTATAATATAGCATAACCTTACAACCTGGACACACTCCTCCTGTGTCTGGTTAAATTCAGGTGCCCTTTTCATCAGGTTTGACTTCCAGGTTATCTAAATGAGCTTCCCTTAAGGAAAAACAATGAAACTGCAGTACGTTTATCTTTACCTTTTTAATAACTGGCTTTATAAAAAATAAAGATTTAAAATTTTATAAAGATAATTTCCTGTGTTGTCTTTATTAAATTTTTGATTACTTAGAAAAACTGAGCTTTAACAGGGTTAAGGTTCTTACACCCATGTAACTTTCTGCATTTATTTTGAAGTCTTTTGATTATTACTCTGGTTAATGACTGATATTTTACAGAGACCTGTGATTCTGTTTTGATCAAGTCTTTTGAACCTTTGACATCTGGTAGGCTTCCCTCAGGTCAAAATCCTAAATTAAATCTTTTGACCTAGAATTAACTTAGAGATTTTCAGTTAAGTCCTTGGAGAGACTTAAAGAATGTATCTCTCATTTTGTAGAAATATTAAATGATTAGGCTTATTTGGTAAATTAAAGAACTGTCAAATGATAAATGATACTAGATTTTCTTTCAGTTACATTTATAGATATATTATTGTCTAATTTTTTCAAAAATTATATACATGCTACATTTAATGTTATGAGTCATAATTTTGTTTGTTATGTTAAATCTTTTCTAAAGTTATGTGTGTGTGATATGTTATTAATGTGAGTGTTCTAAAGATTATATAAAATTTATAAAAGTCTACGAGTTCTGATGTGATGCTATCAGTTATGGTTCTTGTTGTCATCTTAAAATGTACATAAATAGGCTGGGCGCAGTGGCTCACGCCTGTAATCCCACCACTTTGGGAGGCCGAGGTGGGCGGATCACCTGAGGTTGGGAGTTCAAGACCAGCCTGACCAACATGGAGAAACCCCGTCTCTACTAAAAATACAAAAAAATTAGCCTGGCATGGTGGCCCATGCTTGTAATCCTACCTACTCAGGAGGCTGAGGCAGGAGAATCGCTTGAACCCGGGAGGCAGAGGTTGCAATGAGGGGATATCATGCCATTGCACTCCAGGCTGGGCAACAAGAGCAAAACTCCGTCTCAAAAAAAAAAAAAAAGTACATAAATACAAATAACTAAATTAAAATCCCTTGTCAATTGTGAATTCTCATTACATTTTTAACCATGGATATTCTAAGTTTTTGTCATCCACAGTTGTTTTGAATCTTCTGTAAAATCATTTGTAGTCACCTATATTGCTTTTCATGGAAAAGACTATAACGAGTACTCTTGAACATAGATTTCTGATACCCTTATGATTGAAAGACAAAAATCAAAATGTTCAGAGCTCTAACAAAGAAACGGATGAGTTCATGAAGCAGTTAATCAAGATGAAGCAAAACAAAAAATTAATTATATAAAATTAAATAATCGATGGTAATGTTTTCAGAACTTATTTAAATAATTGTTGATTCTTTACTTAAACAATTTGTTTTCTGGGTTTAAGGACATTTTCTTTCATACACTATCTATAGTTTGTAACAATTCGGTAAAGTATATTTTTGTGAACAAAGGTGGAAGCATTTGATTTTTCTCCGTACTTGATTCCTCCAATATTTGGAAACTATTCATGAGTATACTTATTGCTTTATAACAATAGGATTGTTAACATACATTCAATAAAATTTTGTTTCCTCTTTTTAAGAGAATAAAATTGGAAACATTGGTTATATTGTCAAGGTTTTGACTAAAGTAAAATATTTGAGAATGAACTTTAAATGCTTGGCCTCATAGGGTTTTCATCCTTACAGTAAATAAATAATAATTGTCACTTCCTGGCAGGCCTAGGAACCTTAAGAATGGAAGTAAAATGTAAAGCCTACCTTGGTTTGGCTTCCTAGCCTCAATAAGGTTTCAACTTGGAGATTTTTATGTCATCAATACAGAAAGAAAACATTATGATTCTAAAAAAAAAAGCTATAATAAACATTAGATTATAGTCATATGCATTGCTTTCAAGTTCTTGTTATCCACCTGTTAACTAGATTAGATCCTGAATGTATAGAGAAAAATTGTTTCTAAAGAAAATTATAATACACTTGTTATTAGATTGTGGTTCTGTGCATTACTTTTAAGTTCTTATTACGTATCTATAGACAGGATTAGAACCTGAATTCTCCTCCAATATTTGGCTACAATTAACAACAAAACCTGATTTTTTCCTAAAGCCTTATAAGCTGAAATGAGATGAATTTTAAGGGACAAGAATTGTGTCTGATGTGTGGGCCACCCAAAAAGTTTACCAAGCTACATGATGTCATGACCAGAGACATTCTAACCAGGAGGAGAAATTCACATTTTTTTTTTTTTTTGGTCACTGTATACAGCTTTCCTAAAGAAATCAGAATGACTCCATGTCATAATAAGACTCTTACTCCTCTTAATGCTACCTTTCTTACTTGGCGAAATAATAGTGTAATTAAAGTTTTACAATCAGTAGTTTATGCTGGTATCTTAACAAAACCTAATACAAGAAATTATTTATTATCCACTGGTTAAATAAGAAAATGTCTGTGCTATTGCTAATATTACATTATGTACTTGGATAAACTCCTCCGGGGAAGTTGGGACCCACATATGCAAAATAAGAAAACAGGCCATCTGATTACAACA
The DNA here is from genome assembly GCF_000001405.40 of Homo sapiens. Lineage (NCBI taxonomy): Eukaryota > Metazoa > Chordata > Mammalia > Primates > Hominidae > Homo > Homo sapiens. The sequence continues at coordinate 46,652 of NW_003871074.1, read as the reverse complement.
GATCTCACCTAATTCTCTAATGTCATTTGCTTTATTCAGTTGGTTGCCTTTAAGCCTGGGTTTATGACTGAAAACTATTATATAAACTGGAATTGTGATATTACTATTAATTTTACTTTGTATTTTCCTTTTTTAAACTTTGTAGCTGTTACTTCTTAAATATGTGTGGAAGTACAACTCCTAAGGATATAATGTTGGCCCAGCACTTTGGTATGGTTGCAAAAGACTACAGAACAGAGAAAATTCAACTTAATAATAAACTCCAGGTAGACTCAGTCTGTGTCCCACTCCCTTCAAACTTCCCTTGTTGCTCAGTGTGGCTAAAGAGGTTTTAACACTGACTGCTAGTCACCAAACTCTCCCCCTAAGGTGGGATGAGACCAGCCCAGGCATAGGTCCATTCCAGCACGAAGGGATATCAAAATCTAGCTACATGATTATTGTTCAGTGATGCCTTTGGAGAAAGTCTTGATCAAAAGGGAGAAAATATGAAAGTTGTCAGAATCAAAATGGAGTCACTAATATAAAAAAAAAAAAAACTCACAAAGCGAGCTGGGGAAAGCATGAAGAGAGGGTTCTCAAGATTGTATGCCTGAGAACAAAACCATCACAAAAGATTCTGCAAAAAATAACAGGCTTGCACCAAGTCCATCACAACCTTGCATAAAAAGTATTTCTGCAATTATAACAAACTATCTCTCAGACCACAGTGCAATCAAACTAGAACTCAGGATTAAGAATCTCACTCAAAACTGCTCAACTACATGGAAACTGAACAACCTGCTCCTGAATGACTACTGGGTACATAACGAAATGAAGACAGAAATAAAGATGTTCTTTGAAACCAACGAGAACAAACACACAACATACCAGAATCTCTGGGACGCATTCAAAGCATATGTAGAGGGAAATTTATAGCACTAAATGCCCACAAGAGAAAGCAGGAAAGATCCAAAATTGACACCCTAACATCACAATTAAAAGAACTAGAAAAGCAAGAGCAAACACATTCAAAAGCTAGCAGAAGGCAAGAAATAACTAAAATCAGAGCAGAACTGAAGGAAATAGAGACACAAAAAAATCCTTCAAAAAATTAATGAATCCAGGAGCTGGTTTTTTGAAAGGATCAACAAAATTGATAGACTGCTAGCAAGACTAATAGAGAAAAAAAGAGAGAAGAATCAAATAGACACAATAAAAAATGATAAAGGGGATATCACCACTGATCCCACAGAAATACAAACTACCATCAGAGAATACTACAAACACCTCTACGCAAATAAACTAGAAAATCTAGAAGAAATGGATAAATTCCTCGTCACATACACTCTCCCAAGACTAAACAAGGAAGAAGTTGAATCTCTGAATAGACCAATAACAGGATCTGAAATTGTGGCAATAATCAATATCTTACCAACCAAAAAGAGTCCAGGACCAGATGGATTCACAGCCGAATTCTACCAGAGGTACAAGGAGGAGTTGGTACCATTCCTTCTGAAACTATTCCAATCAATAGAAAAAGAGGGAATCCTCCCTAACTCACTTTATGAGGCCAGCATCATTCTGATACCAAAGCCTGGCAGAGACACAACCAAAAAAGAGAATTTTAGACCAATATCCTTGATGAACATTGATACAAAAATCCTCAATAAAATACTGGCAAAACGAATCCAGCAGCACATCAAACAGCTTATCCACCATGATCAAGTGGGCTTCATCCCTGGGATGCAAGGCTGGTTCAATATATGCAAATCAATAAATGTAATCCAGCATATAAACAGAGCCAAAGACAAAAACCACATGATTATCTCAATAGATGCAGAAAAAGCCTTTGACAAAATTCAACCACCCTTCATGCTAAAAACTCTCAATAAATTAGGTATTGATGGAATGTATCGCAAAATAATAAGAGCTATCTATGACAAACCCACAGCCAATATCATACTGAATGGGCAAAAACTGGAAGCATTCCCTTTGAAAACTGGCACAAGACAGGGATGCCCTCTCTCACCACTCCTATTGAACATAGTGTTGGAAGTTCTGGCCAGGGCAATTAGGCAGGAGTAGGAAATAAAGGGTGTTCAATTAGGAAAGGAGGAAGTCAAATTGTCCCTGTTTGCAGACGACATGATTGTATATCTAGAAAACCCCATTGTCTCAGCCCAAAATCTCCTTAAGCTGATAAGCAACTTCAGCAAAGTCTCAGGATACAAAATCAATGTACAAAAATCACAAGCATTCTTACACACCAACAACACACAAACAGAGAGCCAAATCATGAGTGAAATCCCATTCACAATTGCTTCAAAGAGAATAAAATACCTAGGAATCCAACTTACAAGGGATGTGAAGGACCTCTTCAAGGAGAACTACAAACCACTGCTCAAGGAAATAAAAGAGGATACAAACAAATGGAAGAACATTCCATGCTCATGGATAGGCAAAATCAATATTGTGAAAATGGCCATACTGCCCAAGGTAATTTACAGATTCAATGCCATCCCCATCAAGCTACCAATGCCTTTCTTCACAGAATTGGAAAAAACTACTTGAAAGTTCATGTGGAACCAAAAAAGAGCCTGCATCACCAAGTCAATCCTAAGCCAAAAGAACAAAGCTGGAGGCATCACGCAACCTGACTTCAAACTATACTACAAGGCTACAGTAACCAAAACAGCATGGTACCGGTACCAAAACAGAGATATAGATCAATGGAACAGAACAGAGCCCTCAGAAATAACGCCACATATTTACAACTATCTGATCTTTGACAAACCTGAGAAAAACAAGCAATGGGGAAAGGATTCCCTATTTAATAAATGGTGCTGGGAAAACTGGCTAGCCATATGTAGAAAGCTGAAACTGGATCCCTTCCCTACACCTTACACAAAAATCAATTCAAGATGGATTAAAGACTTAAACGTTAGACCTAAAACCATAAAAACCCTAGAAGAAAACCTAGGCATTACCATTCAGGACATAGGCATGGGCAAGGACTTCATGTCTAAAACACCAAAAGCAATGGCAACAAAAGACAAAATTGACAAATGGGATCTAATTAAACTAAAGAGCTTCTGCACAGCAAAAGAAACTACCATCAGAGTGAACAGGCAACCTACAAAATGGGAGAAAATTTTTGCAACCTACTCATCTGACAAAGGGCTAATATCCAGAATCTACAATGAGCTCAAACAAATTTACAAGAAAAAAAACAAACAACTCCATCAAAAAGTGGGCGAAGGACATGAACAGACACTTCTCCAAAGAAGACATTTATGCAGCCAAAAAACACATGAAAAAATGCTCATCATCACTGGCCATCAGAGAAATGCAAATCAAAACCACAATGAGATGCCATCTCACACCAGTTAGAATGGCAATCATTAAAAAGTCAGGAAACAACAGGTGCTGGAGAGGATGTGGAGAAATAGGAACACTTTTACACTGCTGGTGGGACTGTAAACTAGTTCAACCATTGTGGAAGTCAGTGTGGCGATTCCTCAGGGATCTAGAACTAGAAATACCATTTGACCCAGCCATCCCATTACTGGGTATATAACCAAAGGACTATAAATCATGCTGCTATAAAGACACATGCACACGTATGTTTATTGCGGCATTATTCACAATAGCAAAGACTTGGAACCAACCCAAATGTCCAACAATGATAGACTGGATTAAGAAAATGTGGCACATATACACCATGGAATACTATGCAGCCATAGAAAAGGATGAGTTCATGTCCTTTGTAGGCACATGGATGAAATTGGAAATCATCATTCTCAGTAAACTATCGCAAGAACAAAAAACCAAACACCGCATATTCTCACTCATAGGTGGGAATTGAACAATGAGATCTCATGGACACAGGAAGAGGAATATCACATTCTGGGGACTGTTGTGGGGTGGGGGGAGGGATAGCATTGGGAGGTATACCTAATGCTAGATGACGAGTTAGTGGGTGCAGCGCACCAGCATTGCACATGTATACATATGTAACTAACCTGCACAATGTGCACATGTACCCTAAAACTTAAAGTATAATTAAAAAAAAAATAAATAAGACAGTGGCACACTAGCACAATAAAGAACAGTGCTGGCAAAAAAAAAAAAAAAGAAATTAACAAATGTAAAGATTTGCTGCATAAAGTTATAAATTTTATTCTTTTTAATTTTAAAGTTATAAATTTTATTCTTTTTAATTTTAAAGTCATAAATTTTATTCTTTTTAATTTTAAAGTTACAAATTTTATAAGATGATCTATAAACAGATCTACATTTGAATCCTAATGGCAACAATTTCTATAATAGGGACCTTGGAAAACTCATTTAAATTGCTTTAATTTTATTTCTTATCTATTAAATGGGATAATAATTTCCTCATATGATGGTAGAAAAATAATGTGCTTAGTTTATCGTAACTAATGATGTTACAGTGTTGTAAAGCAATGGATTGCTTTTTTTTTTTTTTTTTTTTGAGACAGAGTCTCGCTCTGTTGCCCAGTCTGGAGTGCAGTGGTGCGATCTCGGCAGCTCACTGAGACCTCTGCCTCCCAGGCTCAAGTGACTCTCCTGCATCAGCCTCCCCAGTAGCTGGGATTACAGGCATGTGCCACCACACTCGGCTACTTTTTTTGTATTTTTAGTAGAGACAAGGTTTAACCATGATGGCCAGGTTGGTCTCAAACTGCTGACCTCAAGTGATCTGCCTGCTTCAGCCTTCCAAAATGCTGGGATGGATTGTTTTTTTATGTAAAATATTTCAATGTATTAAATTTTTATATATTATCACCTACTGACAGTTTGATGTACTTTCTTCTCCTATCAGCATTCTCTTCTCCATCCCATCACCAGTAGCCTTTGCTCAATAGTTCACAGGTCTAACTATTCTTAGGGAGCCCAGGGTGATGCTCTTTCCCTTTGACTCTTCCATCCCTTCGTTCACATATTTTGCTCTGAGGTTCATTACTCAGAAAAGATAATTGAGTTTTATTGAGCTCAGCTACCTCTGAGACTGTTAAGAAAAGTATATAATTCTTCTCACTGGAAAAAACAATGCTCATAATACACCCTGGGACACACACACACACACACACACAAAAAAATGGTAAAACACACATTTCCTTTGTGTTTCCCTGGATACTTACTTATGTACACTGGTAGAGAGGATGGTTTGACAAGCCAACATCTGTATTTCTTAATCAGAACAAGAAGACTATAATAGCTGGCAGGAAGTACTAACCAGCTAACATACTATCCTTCCTAACTAATATTATATTTTTATATTAAAAGCTAAAAGTGCATTCTTCATCCAAAATTATTAAAATACAACTTTTTGTATTTAGAGATATGCTTCTATTGTTAGAGGTTTCCTTAAAATTACCATATGCCTTCACACTTTCTTAAAGAATATCAAACTTTAAAAGCAACATGTTAAGCTTTTCTTGATGTCTTTTGGCCGTTAGACTGATAATATCTTCTATTTAATTCTTTCTTCTCATTCTTGCTCTTGAGATATTAACAAGACTATCTCTTTTGTTAGTGGCTCCTAATCGTTGCCTGTTTGTGCATTTGTTTTTTTTTCTTCCCTTGCAATTTTCTGTGTTGTTAATTGCTCTTTTTTTTGAATCTAATAGTGTGAAATTCTACTTCTGTGTGTGAGCTGCCAGCAGTTTTAGAAATTAAAACAGGAAGATGATGAATATATTTCAAAACAGGGGCAGTGGCTCACACCTGCAATCCCAGCACTTTGGGAGGCTGAGTGTAGGAGTTCAAAACGAGACTGGGTGACAAGGTGAAATCTTGTTTCTACAAAAAATAAAAAAAAAAAATTAGCCAGATGTGATAGGGTGTACCTGTAGTCCATGCTCCTCCAGAAGCTGAGGTGGGAAGATTGCTTGATCTTGGGAGATTGAGGTTGCAGTGAGCCATGAAGGCACCTCCACTGCACTCCAGCCTGGGCAACAGAGTGAGACTCTGTCTCAAGAAAAAAAGAAAAGCTTTCTTTAGCACTTATCATATATTACTATGTAAATGGTTATTGGACTGGTTATGAGGAAGAAGAAAAATTTTCCATCTACATTTAACATTTGAATTAAGCAACTTACCTAAAATTCTCAGCAACACCATCATCTCAATAGAATTTAAGTTTGCCTTTCCCAGATTCTTTTATGTCAGAGTATGAATTCCCAGGGTTACGGATTCCTGAAACCCCTCAGGGTTTCACAATTTGGAGAATAGCTAACAAGGCAATTAAACTAAATTTTGTATTGATGAATTGGGGATTATTACTGAGAAAGGAGGAAAAATTTTGGAGACTATGATTCCCTTGTGAAAAATGTAATTAGTTATAATTTTTATTCTCATTCTCCCTTGAGTTGTGCAGAAGCTTAACTATAATATGTATACACATATATTATGTGTGTTATTAATATTCATATGTTTATATTTGCATATTAAAACACATACGAACTTCCTTACTAATATTTCTGTTGTATGTTGGATGTATCTCATTTTTCCCTCCAAATCCATTCTCCATCCTTCTAAACTCCTTTTTTTGCTCCAGGATGTTCACCTGTATTAATTTGCATCAGTGGGATCTTTGCTTACTATTTAATAGCTTTACCCAATGGTTATCAATGGCAGGGAGGACAGTGAAGGCAGAGAGTTTCCCCCAGGCTCCTTATCTACAGACATGGCACAACTGGTGTATCCATGGCCTTAGACCATAGCTACTAACAGGTGACCCTTTTTCAAAACTCTTTCTTCAGTGCCCATAACCTCTCTCTCTTCTTGTATGATTAAGGATAGAGGTGGTAACAGTGCTCAGAAGTTATTAGTTCTAGGGTGTATTAGTAAGCGTTCTCCAGAGAGACAGAACCAATAGGAGATAGAGAGATAGATAGATAGATAGATAGATAGATAGATAGATAGATAGATAGACAGACATAGAGGTTTACAAGAGGGGGTTTATTAGGAAAATTGGCTCACGTGATTAAGGAGGCTGAGAAGTCCGACAAAAGGCAGACTATATACCGGAGACCCTAGAATTCCAGTAGTGTGGTTCAGTCCAAGTTCAAAGGGCTGAGAACCCAAGAGGCTTGTGGTGTAAATCCTGGAGTTAAAAAGCTAAACAGCCTGGAGTTCTGATATCCAAGGACAGGAGGAGGAGTATATCCCAGCTCCAGAATAGAGACAAACCAATTCACATGTCCTCTGTTTTTATTCTCTCTGGGCCCCCAGTTGATTGGATGGTGTCAACCTGCATTAATTGCAGATCTTCCTCATTTAATCCATTCCATTTCACATGCCAATTTTCTCTGGAAACACCCTCACAGACATACCTTAAAATGATGATTTATTATTTCTCTAGGTATGCCTTAATCCAGTCAAGTTGATACCTAAAATTAACCATTAAATAGGCTTATTCCCAGAATTTCCTTGGAATTACCTACATCACAAATGTTTCTTTGTAGTAATCCCTTTATTAAACCCTGCTCAAATGAACCAATTTTAATGGCCATCTTTACTTGCAAGATTTGTGACTACCACTGGTCCTAGAAGTAGTCCAAGAAGATAAATATTCACAAGGGATTGGGTTGTTTACGTATTTGAAGATTAGGTGGAGAAATATGTGATGGAAGAAATGAGACATTAATAATGTATGAAATCCTGTGACATCAAATTTACATAAATGATCACCAGTGGCATCAAAGTATGAAGGGCAGATCAAGGGCAAGGTATTGAGAGATAAATTTACTGTGACAAAGGCATGAATATAGTGATTATAAATCTTATGTGGTGAGCTGGATTTGCTGAAATTAAAATCTGTTACCATCCAACTGAAAAAACAAACAGGAAGTCAAAATGATTCTTATCTTCTGTAGTCCTTGGGAAAATATAGTGAAAAACAAGTGCTATGGGCCAGGCGTGGTGGCACATGCCTGTAATCCCAGTGCTTTGGGAGGACAAGGCAGGAGAATCACTTGAGGCCAGACTAGCCTGGGCAACATAGTGAGACCTTCGTCTCTATAAAAAATAAAAAATTAGCTGCATGTGGTGTGCACCTGTAGTCTCAGCCACTCAGAATGCTGAGCTGAGAGGATCATGTGAGCCTGAGGATGTGAGGCTGCAGTGAGCTATGATTGCACCACATCACTCCAGCCTGAGTGACAGAGCAACACCGTGTCCCCAGAAAAAAAATGCTATGTCCTGATTGCTGGCATTGCAAAGATGTAGCCCAAATAAATGCTTAATGTCGGCAAGTATTTAATGAGAAAGGTGTGATGTCCTGAGACATAGGATTGAGAGCATTTAGGCCGAGAAAGACAAGTGTGAGAATTCTGAACCTCAAATTCTCTTGAGCCTCTTTTTAAAAATGGGTTTTTTCCCCCCAGAACCTGAGAGAACAAGGACTTTCCCTGGATGAATGCATTTTACTGACTGCACCTGAAAGAGGAGATCACATGCTGTTACCATTCTCCTCAATGCCCAGTCCCATTATTCCACATTACTTCTGGGTTCCTGATGAAACTTAAAAATCATCATAGCCCAGACAGTGAGATATCAAATCTGATCTGGTAGGCTGGGCATAGTGGTTTATGCCTGTAATCCCAGTGCTTTCAGAGGCTGAGGTGGGTGGATCATGAGGTCAGGAGTTCGAGACCCTCCTGGTCAACATGGTGAAATCCTGTTTCTACTAAAAATACAAAAAATTAGCCAGGTATGGTGGCAGTCACCTGTAATCCCACCTACTCAGGAGGCTGAGGCAGGAGAACTGCTTGAACCCGGGTGGCAGAGGTTGCAGTGAGCCAAGATCATGCCACTGCACTCCAGCCTCGGCAATAGAGTGAGACTCTGTCTCAAAAAAAAAAAAAATCTGATCTGGTAATATTTACAGGACCTTATCAATTTCTACTGGCAAGTGTCTGGGGAACAAGTTCAGGAATGGATTCTTAGACATGAGACCAAAGAGAAAAATATATTAAGTTTCATATGGCCAAGTTGATTGACATGGGCATATTCACCATGGATTTGAGATTTAATGTGATCGATTGAGTTCCTGGAATAATGGCAATAATTTTCTAAGCTGTTTAACTGAATGTTAAACTGAAAGCAGTTATAGTTATGTGAAGGGGGCCAGCCCCACCACACCTGTGGGTGTATCTCGTCAGGTGGGACAAGAGACTGAGAAAAGAAATAAGACACAGAAACAAAGCACAGAGAAAGAACAGTGGGCCCAGGAGACCGGCACTCAGAATACCAAGGACCTGCACCGGCACCGGTCTTTGAGTTCCCTTCAGTTTTTATTGATTATTACTTTCACTATCTCAGCAAGAGGAATGTGGTAGGAGAGCAGGGTGATAATAGGGAGAAGGTCAGCAAAAAAACATGTGAGCAAAAGAATCTGTGTCATAATTAAGTTCAAGGGGAGGTACTATACCTGGATGTGCACATAGGCCAGATTTATGTTTCTCTCCACCCAAACATCTCAATGGAGTAAAGAATAACAAAGCAGCATTGCTGCCAACATGTCTCGCCTCCTGCCACAGGGCGGTTTTTCTCCTATCTCAGAATAGAACAAAGGTGCAATCGGGTTTTATACCGAGACATTTGGTTCCCAGGGACAGGCAAGAGACGGTGGCCTTCCTCTATCTCAACTGCAAGAGACTTTCCTCTTTTACTGATCCTCCTCAGCACAGACCCTTACTGGTGTCAGCCTGGGGGATGGTCATATCTTTCCCATGCCACGAAGCCATATTTCAGACTATCACGTGGGGAGAAACCTTGGACAATACCTGGCTTTCCAGAGCAGAGGTCCCTGCAGCTTTTCGCAGTGCATTGTGCCTCTGGTTTATCGAGACTAGAGAATGGCAATGACTTTTACCAGGCATACTGCCTGTAAACATTTTGTTAACAAGGCACATCCTGCACAGCCCTAGATCTCTTAAACCTTGATTCCATACAACACATATTTTTGTGAGCTCAAGGTTGGAGCAAAGAGGTTGGGGCAAAGTGGCTGGGGCAAAGTTACAGATTAACAGCATCTCAGGGCAAAGCAATTGTTCAGGGTACAGGTCAAAATGAAATTTCTTATATCTTCCCTTTCTATACAGACACAGTAACAGTCTGATCTCTCCTTCTTTTCTCTACACTTATGGAGGTAAAAATGTTTGATCAACCTGACAGACTACAGAAGATGATGTCTGAAAGTATCTGAAGATAGATATATTGTAACTGATGCCATATGTGTAATCCGCTCTGTCACTGCCTAACTAACCATCACTGCCTGCTCTTCCCCCACCCCACAATCTCTCATCTGGCTCACCCTAGGGCTCCAGGGATCTCATTTTATTAATGCATTAAGGAATACACCGTTGACAAAGTCATTGTCATTGTTGGAAAGCTCTGCAGGGCTCCCAGTGTAGGCTAGGGATGATGATGAGTAAAACTGCTGTGGAATTAAGTTTCCAGGGTAGTAGAAACTGGTTTATGGTGCATAACTGTCAGAGATAAGATGGAAGCAATTTCCCATACATATTGCAGGATGTAGGTGGTAATCAGGTATTTTGTTGTGCAGACATCTGTAGCAACGTCTTATGGATTTGGTGGATGCTAAGTAATGAATTATATGGCTAACAAATCAAGGTGCTTTTTTCTTTTCTTTTCTTTTATTATTATTATATCTTAAGTTTTAGGGTACATGTGCACAATGTGCAGGTTAGTTACATATGTATACATGTGCCATGCTGGTGTGCTGCACCCATTAACTCGTCATTTAGCATTAGGTATATCTCCTAAAGCTATCCCTCCCCCCTCCCCCCACCCCACAACAGTCCCCAGAGTGTGATGTTCCCCTTCCTGTGTCCATGTGTTCTCATTGTTCAGTTCCCACCTATGAGTGAGAATATGCGGTGTTTGGTTTTTTGTTCTTGCGATAGTTTACTGAGAATGATGATTTCCAATTTCATCCATGTCCCTACAAAGGACATGAACTCATCCTTTTTTATGGCTGCATAGTATTCCATGGTGTGTATGTGCCACATTTTCTTAATCCAGTCTATCATTGTTGGACATTTGGGTTGGTTCCAAGTCTTTGCTATTGTGAATAGTGCCACAATAAACATACGTGTGCATGTGTCTTTATAGCAGCATGATTTATATTCCTTTGGGTATATACCCAGTAATGGGATGGCTGGGTCAAATGGTATTTCTAGTTCTAGATCCCTGAGGAATCGCCACACCGACTTCCACAATGGTTGAACTAGTTTACAGTCCCACCAACAGTGTAAAAGTGTTCCTATTTCTCCACATCCTCTCCAGCACCTGTTGTTTCCTGACTTTTTAATGATTGCCATTCTAACTGGTGTGAGATGGTATCTCATTGTGGTTTTTGATTTGCATTTCTCTGATGGCCAGTGATTAAAGCCTTAAATGTTAGACCTAAAACCATAAAAACCCTAGAAGAAAACCTAGGCATTACCATTCAGGACATAGGCATGGGCAAGGACTTCATGTCTAAAACACAAAAAGCAATGGCAACAAAAGCCAAAATTGACAAATGGGATCTAATTAAACTAAAGAGCTTCTGCACAGCAAAAGAAACTACCATCAGAGTGAACAGGCAACCTACAAAATGGGAGAAAATTTTCACAACCTACTCATCTGACAAAGGGCTAATATCCAGAATCTATAATGAACTCAAACAAATTTACAAGAAAAAAACAAACAACCCCACCAAAAAGTGGGCAAAGGACTTGAGCAGACACTTCTCAAAAGAAGATATTTATGTAGCCAAAAAACACATGAAAAAATGCTCACCATCACTGGTGCTTTTTTCTTATAAAAAGGAAATATTTTATTTGTACAGGAATGTAAAAGAAGTCAATTTCCTCTAGTAGGGAAACACAAGCTCATAAAATTCTCCCACCTATGCTCAGCTATTTCACAACCACTGAAACCATAGACTGAAAGAGAGGCTAGAACCGTTTGTGAAAATCTCTGAAGCTTAGCCTCGGGTATACAGTCTATGTTGCTTAATGATGGGAAAATGTTCTGAGAAATGCATTGTTAGGTGGTTTAATTATTGTGCAAACATCATACAGTATAATTACACAAACCTAGATGGTGCAACCTACTACACACTTAGGCTGTATGGTATAGCCCATTGCTTCTATGCTAAAACCTGTACGGCAGGTTACTGCATTAAACACCGTAGACAATTGTAACTTAATGATAAATGTTTGTGTATCTAAACATAGAAAAAGCATAGTAAAACTACTGTAGCACACTTGGCATGAATGGAGCTTGCGAGACTGGAAGTTGCTCTGGGTGAGTCAGTGAGAGTGATGAGTGAAAGTGAAAGCCTATGACATCACTGTACACTAATGTATACTTTATAAATACTAGACAATTAGGCTACGCCCAATTTATACAAACATTTTTATTTCTTCAATGTTTAATTAACCTTAGTTTACTGTACTTTTTTAACTTTATAAACTTTTAAATATTTTTAAACTTTTTGATTCTTTGTAGTAACACTTAGAACACATATTGTACAGCATTAGAAAAATATTGTCTTTCTTTACATCTTTATTCTAAAGTTTTTTATTTTAAAAAATATTTATTTTTGCTTTAATTTTTCTTTTGTTAAAAACTAGACACAAACACACAAATTAGCCTAGGCTTACACAAAGTCAGGATCATCAATATCACTGACTTCCACCTCCACATCTTGTCTTACCGGATGGTCTTCAAGGTCAATAACATGCATGGAGCTGTCATTTCCTGTGGTAACAATGCCTTCTCCTGGAATACCTCCTGAAGGACCTGCCTGTGGCTGTCTTATGGTTTACTTTTTTATTTAAGTGAAAAAAGCATTCTCTAAAGTAATGATTAAAAGTATAGTGTGACAAATAAATAAGCTGGTAACACGGTCACTTATTATCATCATCAAGTATTATATATTGTGCGTAATTGTAGGTGCTGTACTTTAAAATGACTGTCAGTGTAGTAGGTTTGTTTACAGCAGCAACACCACAAACATGTGAGTAAAGCATTGCACTATAATGTTACAAGGGTTATGATGTCACTAGGTGACAGAAATTTTCACGCTCCATTATAATCTTATGGGGCCACCATCACATATGCAGCTCATCATTTACTGGAATGTCATTCGTAAGGGCATGACTATATTTACGTCTTTCTCCGTGCATTTTCATGAATGATTTTCAGACATTTACCAGAGTAATCCTACACTCTGCAAAACACATCCCAGACCTTTTGGGTATTGTTGGATATCGGTTTTGGAATGACACTAATGTCTAGAGGTGGGAAAATGCCAGTGAGGTACATTCTCACCAGTGTGGCTAATGAAAGCAATTTGAAAGATTATTTTGGCCTGAGTGCATCTCTAGATGGGTTCAATGGCACCAAGTATATAGCTCATGATTATCTACCCAGGCCCGAAAATTATATTGGGTATAGACACACAGAATGAAGCAAAATCTTCATTTTAGTTTACTTTCTTTGACACTTGAAATGAGAATTATCATTGTTGAAAGGTTCACATGCAAATGAAGTTCTTGAAATTGCTACCTGAAGACACTCTCTGTGATAATAGTAAAGAAAATTCAGCATCACATCCCTGAGAGAAATGCTTTTTGATGGAATCCCCAAGGCTTCATGACTGAGTTCTGGAAACAAAGAGAAAAGAAATATTTTGTCAAGCAAAATGACATCTTTTTATCTTTCAATACCTTTTATCTTTGAATCTTTGAATCTCTGAAAACCTACAAGTCATCCCTTTATTGTACCGTGGGAAAAGTGTATCACCGTTACAAATGGATTTGAAGAGAAATTCCTCTATCCAACTCACCTAGTGCTCATTTGTGCAAGCCCACTCTGGAAGTTCAGAATGGAGGAAGGACTGATGGAAGGCAAGGGACAGAGATCATGACAAAACACCCTAGGTTTGTGAGGGACCACACATGCAGAGCCAGCAGACAGAGCTGCTCAGGGAAAGCGTGTCCTGGGGCAGGGGCCAGAAGCCATTTTGGGGAAAGACAGAAAAAAGGACCAAGGATTGCATATATCTAACATATGGGTGATTAAGGATCTTCTGTGATTAAGGAGATCTCATTAAACAGAATGGAAAGATGAGATTTGGGTAGTTTCTACCTCTGTAGGTAGAAATGGAATCGGAGGCTTTGCAGTTGTTGAATTGTGACCCCATTATAAATCACTAGCCCCTCTCACCAACTGAACACCAATCTGACAACTTTACAAGATAATGGGTCAGGTTTCTTTGCAGGATATGTAAAGGTCATACATTACAGCCTTTCTGTCTAGGCACATCTTATGCTACTCACCACCACCATGTCCTTGTTAGTGATGACTCACAGAGCTCAGTGCTGTTACCTGGAAAAACCTCCAGTATTACCACCTGTAACGTTTGTCTGTGGTTTTCTTTTTTTTGTTATGTCCTTTGCTGGCTTTCGTATCAGTGTGATGTTGGTCTTATAAAATGAGGTAGGGAGGATTCCTTCTTTCTCAATCTTTTGGAATAGTTTCAGTAGGATTGGTATCAATTCTTCTTTGAATGTCTGGGAGAATTCAACTATGAATCCATCTGGCTCTGGACATTTTTCTCATTGGCAATTTTTATTACTGATTCCATCTCACTGCTTGTTATTGGCCTGTTTCTATTTCTTCCTGATTCAAGCTGGGAGAGTCATATGTTTCCAGGAATTTATCCATTTCCTCTAGATTTTCTAGTTTATGTGCATAGAGATGCTTGTAGTTGTCTTGAATGATCTTTAGTATTTCTGTGGTGTTTGTTGTAACGTCTCCATTTTCATTTCTAATAGAGCTCATTTGAAACTTCTCCCACAGGCCAACATTCAAATTCAGGAAATACAGAGAACACCACAAAGATACTCCTCGAGAAGAGCAACCCCAAGACACATAATTGTCAGATCAAGGTTGAAATGAGGAAAAAGTGTTAAGGCAGCCAGAGAGAAAGGTCGAGTTACCCACAAAGGGAAGCCCATCAGACTAACAGTGGGTCTCTCAGCAAAAACCCTACAAGCCAGAAGAGAGTGTGGGCCAATATTCAACATTCTTAAAGAAAAGAGTATTCAACCTAGAATTTCATATCCAGCCAAACTAAGCTTCATAAGTGAAGGAGAAATAAAATCCTTTACAGACAAGCAAATGCTGAGAGATTCGTCACCACCAGGCCCGCCTTTGAAGGGCTCCTGAAGGAAGCACTAAACATGGAAAGGAACAACCAGTACCAGCCACTGCAAAAACATGCCAAATTGTAAAGACCATCAATTCTATGAAGAAACTGCATCAATAAATAGCAAAATAACCAGTGAACATCAAAATGACAGGATCAAATTCACACATAACAATATTAACCTTAAATGTAAATGGGCTAAAGGCCCCAATTAATAGACACAGACTGGCAAATTGGATAAAGAGTCAAGAACCATCAGTGCGCTGTACTCAGGAGACCCATCTAATGTGCAAAGACACACATAAGCTCAAAATAAAGGGATGGAGGAAGACCTACAAGCAAATGGAAAGCAAAAAAAAAAAAAAAGCAGGGGTTGCAATCCTAGCCTCTGATGAAACAGACTTTAAACCAACTAAGATCAAAAGAGACAAAGAAGGCCACTACATAATGGTAAAGGGATCAATTAAACAAGAAGAGCTAACTATCCTAAATACATATGCACCCAATACAATAGCACCCAGATTCATAAAGCAAGTCCTTAGAGACCTACAAAGAGACTTAGACTCCCACACAATAATAATGGGAGACTTCAACACCCCACTGTCAATATTAGACAGATCAATGAGACAGAAGATTAACAAGGATATCCAGGACCTGAACTCAGCTCTGCAACAATAGACATCTAATAGACATCTACAGAACTTGCCACCCAAAATCAACAAATGTACACTCTTCTCAGCACCACATCAAACTTATTCTAAAATTGACCACATAATTGGAAGTAAAGCACTCCTCAGCAAATGTAAATGAACAGAAATCACAACAAACAGTCTCTCAGACCACAGTGCAATCAAATTAGAACTCGGGATTAAGAAACTCACTCAAAACTGTACAACTACATGGAAACTGAAAAACCTGCCCTGAAGGACTACTGGGTAAATAATGAAATGAAGGCAGAAATAAAGATGTTCTTTGAAACCAATGAGAACAAAGACAAAATGTACCAGAATCTCTGGGACACATTTAAAGCAGTGTGTAGAGGGAAATTGATACCACTAAATGCCCATAAGAGAAAGCAGGAAAGATCTAAAATTGGTACCCTAACATCACAATTAAAAGAACCAGAGAAGCAAGAGCAAACATATTCAAAAGCTAGCAGAAGGCAAGAAATAACTAAGATCAGAGCAGAACTGAAGGAAATAGAGACACAAAAAAATCCTTCAAAAAAATCAATGAATCCAGGAGCTGGTTTTTTGAAAAGATCAACAAAATTGATAGACTGCTAGCAAGACTAACAAAGAAGAAAATAGAGAAAAATCAAATAGATGCAATAAAAAATGATAAAGGGAATATCACCACCGATCCCACAGAAATACAAACTACCATCAGAGAATACTATAAACACCTCTATGCAAATAAACTAGAAAATCTAGATGAAATGGATAAATTTCTGGACATATACACCATCCCAAGACTAAACCAGGAAGAAGTTGAATCTCTGAATAGACCAATAACAGGATCTGAAACTGAGGCAATAATTTATATCCTACCAACCAAAAAAAATCCAGGACCAGATGCATGCACAGCCAAATTCTACCAGAGGTGCAAAGAAGAACTGGTACCATTCCTTCTGAAACTATTCCAATCAAGAGAAAAAGAGGGAATCCTTCCTAACTCATTTTATGAGGCCAATATCTCCTGATACCAAAGCTTGGAAGATACACAACAAAAAAAGAGAATTTTAGACCAATATCCCTGATGAACATTGATGTGAAAATCCTCAACGAAATACTGGCAAACCGAATCCAGCAGCACATCAAAAAGCTTCTCCAGCACAGTCAAGTCGGCTTCCTGCCTGGGATGCAAGGCTGGTTCAATATATGCAAATCAATAAACGTAATCCATACATAAACAGAACCAATGACAAAAACCACATGATTATCTCAATAGATGCAGAAAAGGCCTTTGACAAAATTCAACAGCCCTTCATGCTAAAAACTCTCAATGAACTAGGTATTGATGGAATGTATCTCAAAATAATGAGCTATTTATGACAAAAACTGGAAGCATTCTCTTTGAAAACTGGCACAAGACAAGGATGCCCTCTCTCACCACTCCTATTCAACATAGTGTTGGAAATTCTGGCCAGGGCAATCAGGCAAGAGAAAGAAATAAAGGCATTCAATTAAGAAATGAGGAAGTCAAATTGTCCCTGTTTGCAGATGACATGATTGTATATTTAGAAAACCCCATCATCTCAGCCCAAAGTCTCCTTAAGCTGATAAAGAACTTCAGCAAAGTCTCAGGATACAAAATCAATGTGCAAAAATCACAAGTATTCCTATACACCATTAACAAACAGACAGAGAGCCAAATCATGAGTGAACTCCCATTCACAATTGCTTCAAAGAGAATAGAATACCTAGGAATCCAGCTTACAAGGGATGTGAAGGGTCTCTTCAAGGAGAGCAACAAACTACTGCTCAATGAAATACAAGAGGACACAAACAAATGGGAAAATGTTCCATGCCTATGGATAGGAAGAATCAATATCATGAAAATGGCCATACTGCCCAAAGTAATTTATAGATTCAATGCTATCTCCACCAAGCTACCAATGCCTTTCTTCACAGAATTGGAAAAAACTACTTGAAAGTTCATATGGAACCCAAAAAGAGTCCGTATTGCCAAGACAATCCTAAGCCAAAAGAACAAAGCTGGAGGCACCACGGTACCTGACTTCAAACTACACTACAAGGCTACAGTAATAAAAACAGCATGGTACTGGTACCAAAACAGATATATAGACCAATGGAACAGAATAGAAGCCTCAGAAATAACACCACACATCTACAACCATCTGATATTTGACAAACCTGACAAAAACAAGAGATGGGGAAAGGATTCCCCAGTTAATAAGTGGTGCTGGGAAAACTGGCTAGCCATATGTAGAAAGCTGAAACTGAATCTCCCTTCCTTACACCTTATACAAAAATTAATTCAAGGTGGATTAAACACTTAAATGTTAAACCTAAAACCATAAAAACCCTAGAAGAAAACCTAGGCAATGCCATTCAGGACATAGGCATGGGCAAGAACTTCATGACTAAAACACCAAAAGCAATGGGAACAAAAGCCAAAATAGACAAATGGGATCTAATCAAACTAAAGAACTTCTGCCCTGCAAAAGAAACTACCATCAGAGTGAAAAGGCAACCTACAGAATGGGAGAAAATTTTAGCAATCTACCCATCTGACAAAGGGCGAATATAGAGAATCTACAAAGAACTCAAACAAATTTACAAGAAAAAAACAAACAACCCTATCAAAAAGTGGGCACAGGATATGAACAGACGCTTCTCAAAAGAAGACATCTATGTAGCCAACAGACACATGAAAAATGCCCATCATCACTGGCCATCAGAGAAATGCAAATCAAAACCACAATGAGATACCATCTCACACCAGTTAGAATGGCAATCATTAAAAAGTCAGGAAACAACAGATGCTGGAGAGGGTGTGGAGAAATAGGAATGCTTTTACACTGTTGGTGGGAGTGTAAATTAGTTCAACCATTGTGGAAGACAGTGTGGCGATTCCTCAAGGATCTAGAACTAGAATTACCATTTGATGTAGCAATCCCATTACTGGGTATATACCCAAAGGATTATAAATCATGCTACTATAAAGACACATGCACACGTATGTTTTTTGTGGCACTACAATAGCAAAGACTTGGAACCAACCCAAATGTCCACCAATGATTGACTGGATTAAGAAAATGTGGCACATATACACCATGGAATACTATGCAGCCACAAAAAAGGATCAGTTCATGTCCTTTGCCGGTAAATGGATGAAGCTGGAAACCATCATTCTCAGCAGACTATCACAAGGACAGAAAACCAAACACCACATGTTTCACTCATAGGTGGGAATTGAACAATTAGATCACTTGGACACTGGGCAGGGAACATCACACACTGGGACCTGTCAGGGAGTGGTGGGCTGGGGGAGGGATAGCATTAGGAGAAGTACCTAATGTAAATGATGAGTTGATGGGTGCAGCAAACCTACATGGCACATTTATACCTATGTATCAAACATGCACGTTGTGCACATGTACCCTAGAACTGAAAGTATAAATTTTAAAAAAAGGAAAAAAAAGAGAAACTTCTCTCTTCTTAGTTAATAGCTAATGGTCTACCAATTTTTTGTCTTTCCAAAAAACCATTTTTTTAGTCTGAATTTCATTTAGTTCTGCTCTGATCTTTGTTATTTCTTTTCTTCTGCTAGCTTTGGGTTTGGTTTCTTCTTGTTTCTCTACTTCCTTGAGATGTAACATTAGGTTGTCAATTTGTGATCTTTCAGACAGAGTAACATATGCATTTAGCACTATAAACTTTCCTCTTAGCACTGTTTTTGCTGCATCCCAGAGGTTTTGATAATTTGCGTCACTGTTATCATTAATTTTGAAGAATTTTAAAATTTCAATGTTGATTCCTTTATTAAACCAAAAATCATTCAGGAGCTGATTGTTTAATTTCCATGTGTTTATGCAGTTTTGAGGATTCCTATTGGAATTGATTTCTAGTTTTGTTCTCTTGTGATCTGAGAAGATACTTGATATGATTCTGATATTTTTACATTTGTTAAGACTTGCTTGTGGCCTATCATATAGTCTACCTTGGAGAATATTCCATATGCTAATGAGAAGAATGTATATTCAGCTCTTGGGTAGAATGTTATGTAAGTATCTGTTAGGTTCATTGTTTTTTTTTTTTTTGGAGTTCAGTTTAAAGCCCAGTGTTTCTTTGTTGACTTTCTGCCTAGATAATGTCTAGTATTGTCACCAGAGTACTGAAGTTCCCCACTACTATTTTGTTGCTCACTATCTCTTTTCTTAGGCCTAGTAATAATTGTTTTATGAGTTTAGGAGCTCCAGAGTTAGATGCATTTATATTTATAATTGTTACATCTTCTTTTTGGATTGATCCTTTTATCGTTATGTAATGACCTCGTTCATCTTTTTTTTTAGTGTTGTTGCTTTAAAGTCTGTTTTATCTGATACAGGAATAGCTATTCTTGCTTGCTTGCTTTTGGTTTCCATTTGCATGGAATATCTTTTTCACCCCTTTACCTGCAAGAATCCTTACATGTTAGGTGTGTCTCTTGAAGACAGCAGATGTTTGGTTTGTGATTTTTAAAAATGTATTATGCCATTCTGTATTCACATTCAGTGTTAATATTGAGATGTGGGGTACTGTTCCAGTCATCATGTTTGTTGCTACCTAAGACTTTGTTTTCTTCATTGTGTTCTTATTTTAAAGGACCTGTGAATTTTATGCTTTCAAGGTGTCCTATTCTGGTGCATATCAACCTTTTGTTTCAAGATTTAGAAATCCTTTTAGCATTTCTAGTCTGGTAGTGACAAATCTCCTCAACCTTTTTTTGTTTGAGAAATACTTTATTCCTCCTTCATTCATGAAACTTAGTTTTGCTGGATAAAAAATTCTTGGCTGACCATTATTCGGTTTAAGGAGGCTAAAGATAGGACCCCAATCTCTCCTAGCTTGTAAGGTTTCTGCTGAGAAGTCTGCTGTTAGTCTGACAGGTTTGTTTTATAGGTTACTTGGTGCATTTTTTCTTATTGCTGTTAGAATTCTTTCCTTTACGTTGACTTTAGATAGCATGATGACCGTATGCCTTGGTGATGACCTTTTTGCAGTGAATTCCCCAGGAGTCCTTTAAGCTTCTTGTGTTTGGTTGCATAAATGTCTTGCAAGGCCAGGGAAGTTTTCCTCAATTATTCCCTCAAAAAAGGTTTTCAAACTTTTTGCCTTTCCTTCTCAATCAGGAACACAAATTATTTTTAGGTTTGGATGTTTTACATAATCTTATATTTCTTGGAGACTTTGTTGATTTCTTTTTATTCTTTTTCCTTTAGTTTTGTATGATTGGGTTAATTCAAACCCTTGTCTTCAAATTCTGAAATTCTTTTTTCTACACTGTCTAGTCTATTATTAAAATTTTCTGTGGAATTTTGTTATTCTTTAAATATGTCTTCAATTTTCAACAGTTCTGATTGTTTTTTCTTCAAAATATCTATCTGTTTAGAAAACTTTTCAGTTGTATTCTTGTTTTAAAAATTATTTTACACTAGTTTTTACCTTTTTCATGTAAATCCTTGAGTAGCTTAATAATCAACCTTTCGAATTCTTCATCTGGTATGTCAAAAATTTCATCTTGGTTTGGATCCATCGCTAGAGAGCTTGTGTGATCTTTTGCGAGTGTTTTTTTAAAAACATTACCAGAATTACTTTTCTGGTTTCTTCTCAGTTGGGTAGACTATTTGTTCTAATTATTTTTAAACTGATTTTTTATTTGACTGTGCTGTATTTTTTGTTTCTTTTTTAAGCCCTTGGGGATGTGACTTTACTGTTTATAGTTTATTATTGTAATTTAGTTCAGCTCTGAAACTTTTAAAGGTTGAAGAGTATATGATTCCTTGGTTATAGAATCTTTGTTCAGTGGCTTTCTCAGATGCTGTTTGTGGTAGCAATGTTCTTGGTGTGTGAGCAGGTTCGCTGTATCCTGTGGGGCTGGAATGACAGAGGTCTCATGAAGCTTATCTTGTTCCCCAGTAATGTGCATTTATTTATTTATTCTCCCAGTACTTTGTTAACTGAATTGAACCATTCAGGCTTCAGGCCAGCAGGAGGTGTTCATGGGTAAAAACCAGCTCTAGCTAAAGCAAGTGGGTAAATGCAATACCAAGTGGTAGGCAGAGGTCCCCGCTCCGACAGAGACAGCTGAGGGAGCCCTCACTGAAACACAGTGAGGTCTTTACAGAGGGTTGGGAGGAAGCCACCTTAGCTCTCCTACCAGGCCAGCAGGAAACTGATCCTCCTCCAAGGCACATGAGTCACAAACTGTACCTAGTGTTCTGGTTATTCAGATCAGACCAGCACCTCTTTTCATCTGCAGGAATGCTGATGTTGCATGTGGAGAGGGATTGTGACTCTACCTCTCAGGCAGCCTGAACCTGGAGGGCACTCCTGTGGGGATGAAATTACCCTGAAGTGTTCCAGAAATGCTACAGCTGCACCCACACAGAGCTCCTTTGGGAGAAGCCCCAGCTGTGTCCAAAATTGTAGGTGAGAGGGAGAAGAAGTACCCGTCTCCAGACCCTTCACAAGCACCAGGGCTGCCTGACTGTTGAGGTAGAGCTACAGACTTTCCCCACTGAGGCAAGCACTGCACTTGTCCCTCTGCTGAAATTTACCACAAGTGGAAAGTCTGAGACCCAAGGCCTGCCATCTGGATTCCTTTGTCTCATGGGGTACTCTCTTGATGTGGTGCACTTCCTGTTCCCCTAAGAGTAAGAGTCCCTCAGGGACAGACTACTGTGAATTCTGCTTCTTCTCTGGGTTTAGACACCCAGTGTGGCTGCTACACACCAGGCTGGTTCTGGGGAATGTCTGCAAGTGATTCAGCAATGTGACCTGTCTTCAAGTCTCCCAGCAGCAGGTATCAACACAAGATCTGATGGCATGGTAGGAGACTGATGTAGACTCTGTAAGATCTGCTTGGTTATAAATAACTTTAGTGTTTTGGCTTTCTCAGATGCCAGTTGTAGTACTAATGAACAGGTCACATGGGCAGACACAAGACCTCCTGGTTAGCCAGGGTGATGCAGGCAATATTGATAGCTGAGGTCACACAAAAGTTTTATCCTTCCTGGGTGCTGTGTTGCTCTGCCTGCAGATGCCATAATGTACTGTGTTGATTGGCCTCCACACAGAAGGTTGTGCACCAGCTGCGGTGGTAGCAGTGATCTTTGTGTTTGCCTTATGTTACCCAGAGAAGGTACTCTGGTCTTTCAGACAATGGGCATGGCCATAGACCTACCAAAAGTCTGTGTTCTTTTATTCAGTTACGAGGCTGGGTAGAGGGGCAAAGCTAGGTAAGGTCTAGGTCAGACAAGTCTGCACTCTGGTTGCCCATGTATGGGCACAAGTAGTCACCCCAGTGAGGATTGGATGGCAGTTCCATGGCCACTAGGATGATGCTTCAGTGAGGAGTACACCTGCTCCTGCTGAACAGATGAGTCCACATGGGGAGTGGGGAGTAGCAAGCAGTATTAAGCCCCAACCAGCTCCCACATACGTGGCAAGACAGGTCTCATACCTGCAGTATTCCACCTGCAGCAGGTACCTGGTTTACAGGCAGCCAGCACTCAGAACTCAAAATGACACAAGGCCATTCCTGAGGGAGACAGACCATAGCTTTCAGACCATGTCCTTCCCATTTGTCCCATGAAGCAGGAACACCCAGCTCCTGTGCCCAAGGCTTTAGCAAACTTTCTACTTGTGCCTCAGTTCTGGACAAGTGGTTTCATCTTCAATCAGGATTATATCACAAATCTCAGGAGCTTCTCTTAACCAGTGACTGCCATGTGAGTTAGCTGGCTGACTTCTGCAAAGTCCTCTGTGCTGTAGAGGATCAGGAATGGCTTCCCAGGTCCCCCCGGTGACTGGGAGTGCATGCAAAGCATGTCCTGATCCTGCTCCTTCTCATATACTCCCCACTGCTCAGTACGTCAGCTCCAGTCCTGGGTAGGCTTAAGGCCTTCCTCCGTGGCCTGGATTGCCAGGTTTCCCAGTGGGAGTGCATACACCTGATGCAGTTTCTGCCACCCTCGTGCTGGAGACTCACGGTTTTCCACCTGGCTTATGGTGTAGGCTGCAGCCACCACTTCCTTCAAAGGGCCTGTGGTTTCATTCAGTTTTCCTGTTAAGTTCCTGTGTTGCTTCTTGGAAGAAGGCTCATAGCATGTCTCTGCACTATTTGGTCTTTGCAAGTGGAAGAAGCACACTAACAAAACCTTCAGTCTACCGTCTTGAAAAACTACTAACAAGGTAATTTTATATGAGAAAACCAATCAGTTAACGGCCAAAACAGAAAAAAGAAGAAAAATAATAGACCTTCCTAAGCAGGAGGGTATTCTCCGGCACTCTGCTCCCGGATTTAATCTGCACCATTGACTGTTTGGGTCTCTAAGCTGCCAGCCTGCAGGTGCTCCAGCAGCATTCCTTGGTCTCAAGTCTCCTAGGCCACACTGCAGGTTTAGCCTTGACAGGCTTCAAAATTAATCTGTACACACACACACAAACACACACACACACACATATCACACACACATATATGCACACATTCTATTGGTTCTACTTCTCTGAAGAATCCAGACTAATGAAACCACTAAGAGTTGTGCATTTTTCAAAGAACATTAAATTTAGGAGATCTTTTGTAAGGACGAGACCACAGTATACTTTTGTACTTTTAGAAATGTTTTATTTATTAAAACTCATATCAACAAGAAAAATCTTACAAATCACTTTACCTTAAGAATTTCAAATTCATTTTTGACCTCAGTAGTTAAATTTCCGTAGGAATTTGTATTTTACTTTCAAATTAATATGAAAGATTTTTCTGAATACTTCAAATCAATAAGTTGCAGATGAAACATTTCCAAAAGTGAATGCAAAACTTACTGCTAAATTTACACTTAAACATATTTCTAAATTATGTTATAAAACATGCTGCATGCTTCTATTTTATGTTCTTATTTATTTTTATGTTTTCCTAAGATTATTATTAGCTGTACTTTATCTTTTTACTAAGGTCTCTGTAATATTACTTAGACATAATTCTAGAGCTAACTTCCAAGTATAAAATAATATGAATATGCACTTAGCGAGCTATGTTTACAATATATGGATATATGGGCATATTCTTATTCTTATTTGAAGAATGAATTCTGGTAGGCTCCCATAAAAATATTAGAATAGAAGCCGTCAAGTAGTTTGAGACTCTCTTCTATAGTTACATGTCAGGGTTTATGATACCACGGTGTTTTAAGATTAGATGTGTCACATCAGTTTTACTTTCTGCAATTGATGCTTCCCTCTGGAATGATGTACTTTCTAGTTTCGGTCAAGAAACATAAAATAATTGATTTACTGCCACTGCAATATACTAATTGAGTCTGTTAACATTACTTTAAAAAATGAAGAATGTGTTTTATAGGAATTTTAATATCATTAGTGGGAAATAGAACATGTATTTTAGAAAACCAGAAGACTGAGTTGGCATATATAGCGTTCCTTTTTAGAACGGCTGACACGAGCATCTTGGAATTACACTGTTGGACTCTGTTTCGGCTGTGTTACTGTGTGTTGCAACTTGCATTGATTTTATTTCTTGCACCCACTTACTTTGTTAATGTCCATGATTGCCAGTGTGGATTTACTCTTTCTACTCTGTGTGAATCTTGTACATTTTCTGGGTCTACCTGCCTAATTCAGTTTCTTGCATTTTCTCCCTTTACTGCTTGTGCCAATTCAAACCAGAGAGAATTTGTGTTTATAAGCATAAATTACATTAGTACTATCTTACATTGAAAAACTAATGAAAATTAAATGCCACTTGTCATATTCATCTTTTTAAAATTATATTTGTATTGATAACATGTATGGGGTAAAATGCAATGCTTCAGTACATGTATACAGTGCGAATTGAACATCTCCGACTAATTATTATGCCCATCACCTCATACACTTATCATTGCTTTGTGATGAGAACATTTAAGATCCATTTTCAAGTAATTTTGAAATACACAATACATTACCATTAACTGTAGTCACCTTGTTCTGCAGTAGTTCACCAGAACTTATTCCTCCTGCCTACATGAAACTTTGTACCCTCTGATCAACATTTCTCCTTTCTCCACCCACCCTGCCCAGTCACTGGTAACTACTATTGTACTCTCTACTTGTAGGAGTTCTAACTTTTAGATCTCACACATAAGTGGGATGACACAGATATTTTCTTCTGTGCCAGGCTTACTTCACTTATTACAATGAGATACCACCTCATATACATTATATTAGAATGATCATTCTCAAAAAGATGAAAGTTAACAAGCATTGGCCAGGATGTGGAGAAAAGAGAACTCTTATACACTGTTGATGGGAGTGTAAATTAGCACAGCCATTTTTAAAAACAGTATAGAGGTTTCTACCAAAACTAAAAATAGAAAAATCGAATTACCACATGATCCAAAAATTCCACCTCTGGGTAGATGCTTATAAAGGAATTGAAATCAGTATGTTGAGGAGATACCTGTGCTCTCTTGTTCATTGCAGTATTATTCACAATAGCTAAGACTTAGAAAAAACCTAAATGCCCATCAACAGATAAATGAATCAAAGAAAAAAAGTGGCATATAATGCACAATGGAATACTATTCAGTCTTACAAGAAATGTAATTCTGTCACCTGCAACAACGTGAATGAACCTAGGAGACATTATGCTAAGTGAAATTCCTTTTGTGGAATCACCCCTGTATGTACATATTCTCTCTATAAAATATCTATTAAAATAAATACAATAAAATATTTATTGAGCAATGTGTACTCACAGACTTTTATTTTTTAAATTGTTTCACTTCACCAAAATTATTATTATTTTTTAAATGACAATAATTGCTCTTTGATGCTCAGAAGGTCACAATTTTAATGTAAAAGTCCTTGTAAGTTCACCCCTGTAAAATAAAGAGGAGCTCTGAGAGTTATACAGTGAATTACAAAAATCATATGTATAGGATCTTAATGAATTTTTTCTTAATCAAGAAACGTGTATAAGAGACATACAACTTAGCAAGATCATACCTTTCTGGGTCTCGTTTGTATTGAGTTATTTCTTGGGTGCCTCTAGATCTTTGCGCTAATACTTCTTGGGAGGAAAGTAAGGTATAATAATCCTTAAGATATTCTGTTAAGGGAATGGAAAGTGATGAATGTCATCTAGTTATTAAACATAGGAAAATATTAAAACTGGACTGATCACAATTCTTCCTAGTTCTAGGAACAACATAGATACTATTCTACACATATCTGTTAGGCAAATCTTCAGCTAATGAGGTAGGCTGTTCATCACTTTATGAAGGTACAGGAGAGGTTTTGGGCTTAAGTTTTATGTTTGCTTTTAATAAAAGAGACAGGAAATACACTTCAATTCTTATATATTCAGAAGTTTTTCTTCTAAATTTTCCTAATTTTCTTATTGTATGTGTCTGTAACTGTCATGTGTCAAGAGGAGGATTGATTGTGATAAAGCACAATGGTAACTCTGTTTGAAATACAAAAAACTGCATCTAAAATAGTCTTTGTTTCTCCTCTGGTGGAGATAATCTTGATTTATGGGAGAAGTTTTTTCAGAGCCTCTTTCACATCCTTATTCCTTAGGCTGTAGATCATGGGATTCAACATGGGGAGTACCTCAGTATAAAATGTAGAAACTATTTTGTCCATATCAAAAGAATAGCTAGATCTAGGGAGAGCATAGATGTAGAGAATGGAGCCATAGTATAAAGTGACAGAGGTCAGGTGGGAGGAGCATGTGGAGAAGGCTTTGAGGCGGCCCTGGGAGGAGGAGATCCTCAAGACACTGGTGATGATAAAGAGGTAGGAGGCCAGGATGAGCACCGCGGGGCAGATGACATTGGAGGCCAGCAGGAAGTACATCAGAAACTTATAGCCGCCCTTCTCGCCACAGGCCAGCTTCACCAAGGGAAGTAAATCACAGAAAAAGTCATCAATGATGTTTTCACAGCAGAAGTTAAAGGAAAACGTTTTCTTGGTGATGATTGAAGAGTTAATAAAGCCACCACAATATGAGACTGCTACCAGCAATGCACACAGCTTTATGGACATGGCCTGGGCATAAAGCAGGGGCTTGGAGATGGCCACGTAGCGGTCATAAGCCATGGCAGCCAGTAAGCAGCACTCACTATAGGCCAGCCCTGCAGAGAAGAAGAACTGACACAGGCAGCCAGCAAAGGAGATGCTTTTGTCTTCAGAGATGCAGATCACTAGGATCTTTGGGGTGTAGACAGAAGAATACCAGAGATCCAGAAACGACAGATTTCCAACGACAAAATACATGGGTGTGTGGAGGTGGGAGTCATTACAGATCAACACGATGAGGGTGCTATTTCCTACCACAGTGAGAGAGTACACGCCCAGGAACACCACGAAGAGGCCCAGCTGCATCCCTGGGTCTGTGGTGAAGCCCAGCAGTATAAACTCAGTCACTGTGTGATTGCTCCTCTGCATGGCTGTAAGGAATCTCACCTATGGGGAAAGGAAATGAGCTCAGTCTGAATCACAGTCATGAATATGTAGAATTATGCTACATAAGATCACATTTGCAGTAATCTTTGAAGTCTAGAACCAACAATCTAATTGTTTGTTTTAGAAAGTTTTCATTTTGCAACCGACTTTGCAATTATGTATTCAATTCTAAATTTCTTAAGTTGTTTAATTATGTTTTTCCTTTAGGAATGACTGTTCAAGGAAAGAAAAGATGTATTCATAATTTCTATTTTTCCAATACTTTGATCCTCTTCTTCTTGTCAATTTTCTCTTTTGCTAAATGTGTAAATTTCTATTTTTAAATATCACTCGTTTGTCTTTAAAATACTGGGCATCCCTCTTTTAAATATAGTTCAAAAAGAATAAAGTCTTTTTTCTCGAGTGCTTCTATGCATTGAAACATTATGAAAGCATTATAAATTCATATCTCATGATATTATATATAGGCCTAAGAATATACTAAGAGAAGTGTAATGGAAAAGGAGAATAGATACAAAGTTATGGGGAAAATGTGTACAGAAGAATGATATGCAATGATGAAATTACAAAGTACACAGTATTTACTATATTTTACATATATTTTATAATAAATACAATAATAATAACTTAAACACCAATTTTAAATGTAATTTATGTATAGTACAGTATCACTCCACCCACTCTCTTCAAGATTCTCTTCATACAGAACTACAAATGTTACTAGAGAAATGGGTTGAGAGAAATATATCTAGCAAACGTACATCTGTCTTACACTGTAAAGACAATTCTTGACACACTAATTTCTCATTAACCTAAGTCATTTTGTAGGTAAATAAATTAAAATTCTAGTGTACATGATATTTATTTGTATGCTCATCCTCTTGGGACCTAGGAAAAACACTCAGTTCACACTCAACTTTCAATATTAGCATTAATAAATATCAATATCAACAAACAGTGTTATTTCTGAGTAAACATAGAACAATATAAGATTGTTCCACTTGAGCTTTTGCTGCCTCTACTTCACTCAGGTTTCAGTGATCTCACATGGCTAAACCCAACGATGAAGTTCTCATCTGATTAGATCTCCCTGCAGCATTTGTCATAGTTTCTTGCTCCTTCTCTGCTGGAAAATCTTTACTTGGTTTTCAGGTTGTCATACCTGTCTGGTTTGCTTCCACTTCTCTTGCTGCATGTGTCTCAGTGCTACAGAACCGACTTTTGAATTTTGGAGTGTCCCCAGAATCAGCGATTGAAACTCTTGTCTTCTCCATCTGCCATCAGTTTCTGGTAATCTCATCCAATCTCATGACTTTAAATGCTTCTATATGCACATGACTCCAATGTTACCTCCCCTAACTATGCCTCCTCCCTGAAGTGAGACTCATGGATTCAAATGTCTAATTAATATATATATATATTTTGTAATGTCTCCTGGGCATCTTAAGAAAATTGAGTTCACAGGGAATACTGTTTTATCATTGTATTCTAAAAGCTACATTATTTACTCATGCGTTGTCACTATGAAGAAATTTTTATTAATAATCCTTTTAACCCTATCCTCATTCAGTCTTCTCCACGGCAGTAAATGGCATTATTCCTTGTTAGGAATTTTATGTTATTCTTGACCATTCTCTTGTTTTCACACTGTTGCTTTTTAATTTGCAATATCTCCTTGATTCTTTGAAATATACCTAGAACCAGACTAGTTTTTCCCAGCTCCAATGTTTTCACTCTATATATGAGGCCATGATTAGCCTCTAATTGGTCTTCCTGCTTCTATTCTTATCCCACTTGAGTTTTTCCACATGGCGGAATGGTCCTGTTAAAATGCCAGTTAGATCATGTTAGTTTTCTGTTCTAAGAAGTCCAATGGCTTTTCCACTTATTCAGAGTAAAATTCAAGTTCCTTACAAAGATGTGCAAGATCTCTGTGCTCGTGCCCTCATTACCTGTTTTTTCCCATCTCCTAGTCTTTCTGCTCTTTTCAATCCATTCCAGGCATGCTATCTGCCTTTGAATTTTTAGAATAAACATGGAATGATCAATGCTTTGTCTTCGTTCCACCCATTGTTGCAATGCTCTTCCCCTTAGAAGTCTTTATAGCCAGTTCCCTCACATTTCTCAGTTCTTAATGGCTTCTATTATTACCCCCTAAAGATGTTCCCTGATTACCATATTGCAATCCACTTCCCTGAAATTCTTATGTCCCTCTCCTACTTCATTGTCCTCTTGTGGTTCTGCTCATATTACATCTCATTAGTTTAGCTTCTTTTCTTCTCCCTTCACTAGAAAATGGTCTTTCCATCTGCATTTGATGGAAAACATGTATCATGTTAATGTTAAATACTATTGATTTGTAGTTTTATTCTGTGGTGATGTGGGCTGTTTGTTTTAAATTGATTACCTCATACAAAATAGGAACAATGTTTTTGGATGATGCAAAATCTTTGAAAACATGGATCCAGTGGAACTCCAAGGGATTTCCTGAAGAAAAATTTGAAAACTGCTGGACACAACATCTTCTGATTCTAATATTCTCTCACTCTAATGATGATTCAGGAATTTGATCATGTTTAAAAGTAACAGTAGATATTTGGTTTGTGAATTTTTAAAATTTATTCTGCCATTCTATATTCACATTCAGTATGTGTGTGTGTATATATATATATATATACATATATATATATATATTTTTGAGATGGCATCTCACTCTGTCCCCCAAGCTGGAGTGCAATGGCATGATCTTGGCTCACTGCAACCTCTGCCTCCCGGGTTCAAGCGATTTTCCTGCCTCAGCTTCCTGAGTAGCTGGGAATACAGGTACCCGCCACCACACCCAGCTAATTATTATATTTTTAATAAAGATGGGGTTTCACCATGTTGGCCAGGATGGTCTTGATCTCTTGACCGCGTGATCCACCCGCCTCGGCCTCCCAAAGTGCTGGGATTACAGGCATTGAGCCACTGAGCCCGGC
Organism: Homo sapiens; assembly: GCF_000001405.40. NCBI lineage: Eukaryota > Metazoa > Chordata > Mammalia > Primates > Hominidae > Homo > Homo sapiens. Next base: position 15,237 of record NW_003871074.1, on the reverse strand, counting down.
TATTCAGTGTTAATATTGAGATGTGAGGTACTGTTCCAGTTATCATGTTGATTGCTATCTAGTGACTTTGTTTTCTTTATTGTGTTACTGTTTTAAAGGACCTGTGAATTTTAAGACGTTCTATTCTGGTGCATATCAACCTTTTGTTTCAAGATTTAGAAATCCTTTTAGCATTTCTAGTCTAGCAGTGACAAATTTCCTCAGCCTTTGTTTATCTGAGAAAGACTTTACTTCTCTGTCATTTATGAAACTTAGTTTTGCTGAATAAAAAAAATTCTTGGCTGACTATTATTCTTTTTATGGAGGCTATAGATAGGACCCCAATCTCTTCTGGCATATAAGGTTTCTAGTGTGAAGTCTGCTGTTAGTCTGATAGGTTTGTTTCATTGGTTACTTGATGCTTTTTTCTCACCACTGTTAGAATTCATTCCGTTTTGTTGATTTTAGATAGCATGATGACAATGTGCCTTGATGACCATTTTGCAATGAATCCCCAACGAGTTCTTTGAACTTCTTGTATTTGGATGTCTAAATCTCTTGCAAGGCCAGGGAAATTTTCCTCCATTATTCCCTTAAGTAAATTTTCCAAACTTCTTGCCTTTCCTTCTCATTCAGGAACACAAATTATTTTTAGGTTTGGATGTTTTATATAATCTCGTATTTCTTAGGGACTTTTTGATTTCTTTTTTTTCTTGTTTTTTTAGTTTTGTCTGACTGGGTTAATTCAAATCCTTGTCTTCAATTTCTGAAATTCTTCTTTCTACTCTGTCTAGTCTATTGTTAAAAATTTCTGCTGCATTTTGTAATTCATTAAATGTCTTTCATTTCCAACAGTTCTGATTGTTTTCTTCGAAATTACCTACCTGTTTAGAAAATTTTTCATTTGTATCCTTAATTGTTTTAAAAATTTCTTTATGCTGGCTTTCACCTTTCTCTTGTATATCCTTGAGTAGCTTTAATAATCAACTTTTTGGATTCTTTATCTGGTATGTCAAAAATTTCATCTTGATTTGGATCCATTGCTAGAGAGCTTGTGTGATTTTTGCAAGTGTTATAGAACCCTGTTTTTTCACATTATCAGAATTATTTTTCTGGTTTCTTCTCATTTGAGTAGACTATTTCTTCTGATTATTTTTAAATTTATTTTTGATTTGACTATGTTTTTTTTAAAGTTTTTTTTACCCCTTGAGGATGTGACTTTACTGTTTATAGTTTATTGCAATTTAGTTCAGCTCTGAAAGTTTTAAGGGTTGAAGACTCCATAATTTCCTTGGTTATAGAGAGTCTTTGCATAGTGGCTTTCTCAGATGCTGATTGTAGTAGCAATGTTCTCAGTGTGTGAGCAGGTGCACTGTCTCCTGTGGAGATAGAATGGCAGAGGTCTCATGAAGCTTATCATGTTCCCCAGTAATATGCACTTTATTTATTCCCCCAGTATTTTATTCACTGGATCAGACAGTTCAGGCTTCAGGCCAGCAGGAGGTGTTCATGGGTAAAAACCAGCTATAGTTAAGTGTGGGAGTAAATGCAATAACCAATGATAGGCAGAGGTCCCAGCTTTGACAGAGGCAGCTGGGGGAGCCGTCAGTGAAATGCAGTGAGGTCTTTAGAGAGGGTAGAGAGGAAGCCACCTCAGCTCCCCTATCAGGCCAGCAGGAAATTGATCCACCTCCCAGTCACGTGAGTCACACACTGTACCTATTGTTCCAGTTATTCAGATCAGACCAGCACCTCTTTTCATCTGCAGGAATGCTGATGTTGCATGCAGAGAGGGATTGTGACTCTCCCCCTCAGTCAAGTCTGACCTGGAGGGCACTCCTCCTGTGGGGATGAAATTACTCTGAAGTGTTCCAGAAATGCTACAGGTGCACCCACACAGAGCTCCTTTGGGAGAAGCCCCAACTGTGTCCACAATGGTAGGTGAAAGGGAGAAGAGGTATCCTTCTCCAGACCCTTCACAATCACCAGGGCTGCCTGATTGTTGAGGTAGAGCTACAGACTTTCCCTACTGAGCCAAGCACTGCACTCGTCCCTCTGCTGAAATTTATCACAAGTAGAAAGTCTGAGACCCAAGGCCTGCCATCTGGATTCTTTTGTCTCACAGGTTTCTCTCTTGAGGTAGTGTACTTCCTGTTTCCCTAAAAGTAGGAGTCCCTCAGGGACAGACTACTGTGAATTCTGCTTCTTCTCTGGGTTTAGACACCCAGTGGGGGTGCTCTAAGGAATGTCTGCAAGTGATTCCCCAGAGCTCCCAAGATTGGGATCCCCAGAATCCCCAAGATTCCCCAGAACTCCAGGCTGGTCCTGGGGAATGTCTACAAGTTATCCAGCAATGTGACCAGCCTTCAAGTCTCCCAATAGCAGGTATCAGCACAAGATCTGATGGGGTGGTAGGGAAGTGATGTAGACTCTGTAAGATTCACTTGGTTATAAATAGCCTTAGTGTGTTGGCTTTCTCAGAAAGTTGTAGTAAAAATGAACAGGTCACATGGGCAGATGGAAGACCTCCTGGTTAGCCAGGGTGATGCAGGCAATATTGGTAGCTGAGGTTACACAAATTTTTATCCTTCCTGGGTACTGTGTTGCTCTGCCTGCAGATGCCATAATGTACTGTGTTGATTGGCCTCCACATAGGAGGTTGTGCACCAGCTGCGGTGATAGCTGTGGGATTTGTGCTTGCCTTATGTTACCCAGAGAAGGTACTCTGGTCTTTCAGACAATGGGCATGGCCATAGAGATCCCAAAAGCCTCTGTTCTTTGTGTTCGGTTATGAGGTTGGTTAGAAGGCGAAGCTGTATGAGGGCTGGGTTGGGCAAGTCTGCACTCTGGCTGCCCATGTGTGGGCACAAGCAGCCACCCCAATGAGGATTGGATGGCAGTTCCATGGCCACTAGGGTGATGCTTCAGTGAGGAGTACAGCTGCTTCTGCTGAATGGAAGAGTCCACATGGGGAGTGGGGAGTAGCAGGCAGCAGTAAGCCCCATGCAGCTCCCACACATGTGGCAAGACAGGCCTCACACCTGCAGTACTCCATCTGCAGCAGCTACCTGGTTTACAGGCAGCCTGTGCTCAGAACTCAAAATGACCCCAGGCCATTTACCTTCCTGAGGGAGACAAACCCCGGATTTCAAGCCATGTCCTACCCATTCATCCCATGAAGCAGGGACACCCAGCTCCTGTGCCCAAGGCTTTAGCAAACTTTCTACTTCTGCCTCAGTTCTGGACAAGGAGTTTTATCCCCACTCAGGATTATATCACAAATCTCAATTGGGAGCTTCTCTTAACCAGTGAGTGCCATGTGAGTTAGCTGGCTGACTTCTGCAAAGTCCTCTGTGCCATAGGATCAGGAATGGCTTCCGCCATCCCCACTGGTGACTGGGAGGGCATGCAAAGCATGTCCTGATGCTGTTCCTTCTCATATACTCCTCACTGCTCAGTATGTCAGCTCCAGTGCTGGGTAGGGTTAGGGCCTTCCTCCGTGGCCTGGATTTCCAGGATCCCCAGTGGGAGTGTATACACCTGATGCAGTTCCTGCCACCCTTGTGCTGAAGACTCACAGTTTTCCACCTGGCTCATGGTATAGGCTGCAGCCACCACTTCTTTTAAAGGGTCTGTAGTTTCTTTCATTTTTTCTGTTAAGTTCCTGTGTTGCTTCTTGGAAAAAAGCTCAGAGTATGTCTCTGCACTATTTAGTCTTTCCAAGTGGGAGATGCACGCTACGAAAACCTTCAGTATAACATGTTGAAAAACTACTAACAAGGGAATTTTAAATAAGAAAACCAATCAGTTAATGGCCAAAATAGAAAAAAGAAGAAGAAAAATGGACTTCTCTAAGCAAGAGGGAATTCTCTGGCACTCTGCTCCTGGATTTAATCTGCACCATTGACCTCCTTGGCCTCTAAGCTGCCAGCCTGAAAGTGCACCAACAGCTCTCGTTGGTCTCAAGTATCCTTGGCCACACTGCAGATTTAGACTTCACAGGCTTCAAAATTAATCTCTCTGTGTGTGTATACACACACACACACACATATGCACACACACACACATGTGCCACATATATGCCTTATATGTATACACAAACACATACACACATGCGCACAAAATTTGCACACATTCTATTGCTTCTACTTCTCTGAAGAATCCAGACTAATGCAACCACTAAGAGCTGTGCATTTTTCAAAGAACATTAAGTTTAAGAGATTTTTTTTTGTAAGGAAGAGTCCATACACTTTTGTACTTTTAGAAATGTTTTATTTATTAAAACTTATATATCTAGAGGAAAAATCTTACAAACCACTTTACCTCAAGAATCTAAACTTCATTTTTGAATTCAGTATCAAATTCCCTTAGGAATTTGTATTTTAATTTCAAATTAATATGAAAGATTTTTCTGAATTCTTCGAATCTATAAGTTGCAGATGAAACATTTCCAAAAGTGAGTGGAAAACTGACTGCTAGATTTACACTAAAACTTATTTCTAAATTATGTTATAAATCATCAATGCCACATGCTTAATTATATTTTATGTTCTTATTTATTTTTATGTCTTCCTAAGATTATTATTAGCTGTGCTTTATCTTTTCACTAAGGTCTCTGTAATATTTCTTAGACATGATTCTAGAGCTAACTTCCAGCATCAAATAATGTGAATATGTACATAGGCCAGCCACGTTTATAATATATGGGCATATTCTTATTCTTATTTGAAGAATGAATTTTGGGAGCCTCCCCTAAAAATATTAGAATAGAAGTCCTCAAGTAGTTTGAGACTTTCTTCTATAGTTACATGTCAGGGTTTGTGATACCACGGTGTTTTAAAAATAGATGAGTCACATCAGTTTTGCTTTCTGTAATTGATGCTTCCCTCTGGAATGATGTGTTTCCTAGTTTCAGTCAAGCAACATAACATAATTGATTTACTGCCACTGTAATATAATAATTGAGTCAGTTAAGATTACTTCAAAAGAATGTATTTTATAGGAATTTTAATATCATTAGTGGGAAATAGAACACGTATTTTAGAAAACCAGAAGACTGAGTTGGCATAAATACTGTTCCTTTTCAGAACATTACCTAGGTCGGGCATCTTAGAATTACACTGTTGAACTCTGTTTCGGCTGCATTACTGTGTGTTACAACCTGTATTGATTTTATTCCTTGCACCCACTTACTGTGTTAGTGTCCATGATTGCCAATGTGAATTTAATCTTTCTACTCTGTGTGAAACTCCTACATTTTCTGGGCCTACTTGCCTAATTCAGTTTCTTGCATTTTCTTTCTCTACTGCTTATACCAATTCAAATAAGGAAGTATTTGTGTTTATAAACATAAATTACATTAGTACTGTCTTACATTGAAAAACTAATCAAAATTAAATGCCACTTGTCATATTCATCTTTTTGTTTTTTAAATTTTATTCATATTGATAAACCATAATTTTATATATGTATGGGGTAAAAGACAATGCTTCAGTACATGTATACATTGTAGATTGAACATCTTCGACTAATTATTATGTCCATCACCTCATATACTTACCACTGCTTTGTGGTGAGAACATGTAAGATCCACTTTTTAAATGATTTTGAAATACACAATACATTACTGTTAACTGTAGTCACCTTGTCCTGCAATAGTTCACCAGAACTTATTCCTCCTGTCTACATGAAACTTTGTACCCTTTGATCAACACTTCTCCTTTCTCCACCCACCCTGCCCCAGTCACTGGCAACTACTATTGTATTCTCTACTTGTAGGAGTTCTAACTTTTAGAACCCACTCATAAGTGGGATGATTCAATATGTTTTCTTCTGTGCCTGGCTTATTTCACTTATCATAATGAAATATCACTTCGTATATTATACATTATGCATTATATTACAATGGTCATTATCAAAAAGATGAAAATTATCAAGCATTGGCCAGGATGTGGAGTAAAGGGAACTCTTATACTCCATTGATGGGAATGTACATTAGCACAGCCATTTTGGAAAACAATATAGAGGTCTCTCCAAAAACTAAAAATAGAATTACCATATGATCTAACAATTCCACTTCTGGGTAGATGCTTACAGGAATTGATATAGGTATGTTGAGGAGATATCTGTGCTTTCATGTTCATTGCAGTATTATTCACAATAGCTAACAATTAGAAACAACGTAAGTGCCCATCAACAGATAAATCGATAAAAGAAAAAGTGGCATATAGTACACAATGGAATAATAATCAGCCTTACAAGAAATGTAATTCTGTCACCTACAACAACGTGAATAAACCTAGAAGACATTATGCTAAGTGAAATATCCTTTTGTTGAATCACACCTGTACATACATATTCTCTCTATAAAATATCTATTAAAAAATAAAAATAAAATATCTGTTGATCAATGTGTACTCATAGACTTTTATTTTTGATATTGTTTCACTTAGCCAAAATAATAATTATTTTTTAAATGATGATAATTGCCCTTTGATGCTCAGAAGGTCACAATTTTAATGTAAAAGTCCTTGTAAGTTCACCCCTGTAAAATAAAGAGGAGCTCTGGGAGTTATACAGTGAATTACAAAAATCATATATATGGCATCTTGATGAATTTTTTCTTCATCAAGAAACTTATGTAAGAGGCATAGCAAGGTCATGCCTTTCTGGGTCTCATTTGTACTGAGTTATTTCTTGGGTGCCTCTGGATCTTTGTGCTAATTCTTCTTGTGGGGGGAAAGCATGTAGAACAATGTTTAAGATATTCTGTTCAGGGAATGGAAAGTGATGAATTTCATCCAGTTAAACATAGGAAAATATTAAAAATTGAGCACAATTCTTCCTAGTTCTAGGAACTATATAGATACTTTTCTATATGTATCAGTTAGCCAAATCTTAGGCTAATGAGGTAGGCTGTTCCTCACTTTATGAAGGTATAGGAGAGGTTTTGGGCTTAAGGTTTATGTTTGTTTTTAATAAGAGAGATAGGAAATTCAATTCAAATTCTTATATATTCAGATGTTTTTGTCCGAAATTTTCCTAATTTTCTTATTGTACATGTCTGTAACTCTCACGTGTCAAGAAGGGGACTGATCACGATAAAGCACAATGGTAACTCTGTTTGAAATACACAACACTCCATCTAAGGTCGTCTTTGTTTCTCCTCTGGTGGAGATAATCTTGATTTATGGGAGAAGTTTTTTCAGAGCCTCTTTCACATCCTTATTCCTTAGGCTGTAGATCATGAGATTCAACATGGGGAATACCACAGTGTAAAATGTAGAAACTATTTTGTCCATATCAAAAGAATAGCTAGATCTGGGGAGAGCGTAGATGTAGAGAATGGAGCCATAGTATAAAGTGACAGAGGTCAGGTGGGAGGAGCATGTGGAGAAGGCTTTGAGGCGGCCCTGGGAGGAGGAGATCCTCAAGACACTGGTGATGATAAAGAGGTAGGAGGCCAGGATGAGCACCGCGGGGCAGATGACATTGGAGGCCAGCAGGAAGTACATCATAATTTTATAGCCGCCCTTCTCGCCACAGGCCAGCTCCACCAAGGGAAGCAAATCACAGAAAAAGTCATCAATGATGTTTTCACGGCAGAAGTTAAAGGAAAACGTTTTCTTGGTGATGATTGAAGAGTTAATAAAGCCACCACAATATGAGACTGCTACCAGCAATGCACACAGCTTTATGGACATGGCCTGAGCATAAAGCAGGGGCTTGGAGATGGCCACGTAGCGGTCATAAGCCACGGCAGCCAGCAGGTAGCACTCACTATAGGCCAGCCCTGCAGAGAAGAAGAACTGACCCAGGCAGCCAGCAAAGGAGATGCTTTTGTCTTCAGAGATGCAGGTCACTAGGATCTTTGGGGTGTAGACAGAAGAATACCAGAGATCCAGAAACGACAGATTTCCAATGAAAAAATACATGGGTGTGTGGAGGCGGGAGTCATTACAGATCAACACGATGAGGGTGCTATTTCCTACCACAGTGAGAGAGTACACGCCCAGGAACACCACGAAGAGGCCCAGCTGCATTCCTGGGTCTGTGGTGAAGCCCAGCAGTATAAACTCAGTCACTGTATGATTGCTCCTCTGCATGGCTGTAAGGAATCTCACCTATGGGGAAAGAAAATGAGCTCAGTTTGCATTACTGTCATGAATATGTAGAATTATGTTACATAAGATCACATTTGCAGTGTTTCGTGAAGTCTAGAACCAACAATCTAATTGTTTGTTTTAGAAAGTCTTCATTTTGCAACAATCAGGCTTTGCAATTATGTATTCAATTCTAAATTTCTTAAGTTGTTTAATTATGTTTTTCCTTTAGGAATGACTGTTCAAGTGAAGAAAAGATGTACTTATAATTGCTATTTTTCTTATACTTTGATCCTCTTCCTTTTGTCAATTTTCTCTTTTGCTAAATGTGTACATTTCTATTTTTAAGTATCACTTGTTTGTCTTTAAAATACTGGGCATCCCTCTTTTAAATATAGTTTAAAAAGAATAAAGTATTTTTCCTCTAGTTTCTATGCATTGAAACATTATGAAAGCATTATAAATTCATATCTCATAATATTATATATAGGCCTAAGAAAATACTAAGAAAAGTATAAAGGGAAAAGATAATAGATACAATGTTTTGGGGAAAATGTGTACAGAAGAATGATATACAATGATGAAATTACGAAGTACACAGTATTTACTATATTTTACACATATTCTATAATAAACACAATAATAACAATAATTGAAACACCAGTTTTAAATGTAATTTATTTATACTACAGTATTTCTTATGATGACTTGAAAATCTACCCACTCTCTTCAGGATTCTCTTCATATAGAACTACAAATGTTCTATTGAAATGGGTAGAGCGAAATATATCTAGCATACATCTGTCTTACACTGTAAAGACAATTCTTGACAGACTAACTTCTCATTAACCTAAGTCATTTTGTAGGTAAATAAGTTAAAATTCAAGTGTACATGATTTGTATTTGTATGATCTTCCTCTTGGGACCTAGGAAAAACACTCAGTTCACACTCAACTCTCAATATTAGCATTAATAAACATCAATGTTAGTAAACAGTGTTATTTCTGAGTAAATATAGAACAATATAAGATTGTTCCACTTGAGCTTTTGCTACCTCTACTCCATTCAAGTTGCAATGATCTCACATGATTAAACCGAATGATGAAGTTCTCTTCTGATTAGATCTACCTGCAGCGTTTGTCATAGTTTCTCACTCCTTCTCTGCTGGAAAATCTTTACTTGGTTTTCAGGTTGTCATACCTGTCTGGTTTGCTTCTACTTCTCTTGCTGCATGTGTCTCAGTGCTACAGAACAGACTTTTGAACTTTGGAGTGTCCCCAGAATCAGCGCTTGAACCACTGGTCTTCTCCATCTGCCATCAGTTTCTGGTAATCTCATCCAATCTGATGACTTTAAATGCTTCCATATGCACATGACTCCAATGTTACCTCCCCTGACTATGCCTCCTCCCTGAAGTGAGACTCATGGATTCCAATGCCCAATTAATATTTCTTCCCTAATGTCTCCTGGGCATCTTAAGAAAATTGAGTTCACAGGGAATACTGTTTTATCATTGTATTCTAAGAGCTATATTATTTGCTTAAGTGTTATCATTAAGAAAAAAATTTTACTAACAATCCTCCCTAACCTGATCCTCATTCAGTCTTCTCCACTGCAGTAAATGGCATTATTCCATGTTAGGGAGAGTCGTTTTATATTATTCTTGACCACTCTCTTTCTTACACTCTGTCGCTTATTAATTAGCAACATCTCCTAGATTCTACCTTCAAAATGCATCTAGAACATGACTAGTTTCTCCCAGCTCCAATGTTTTCACTCTACATGGGGCCATGATTGGCCTCTAATTGGTCTTCCTGCTTTTATTCTTATCCCACTTGAGTCTTTCCACATGGCAGCCAAAATGGTCCTGTTAAAATGCCAGTTAGATCATGTTAGTTTTCTCTTCTAAGAACTCCATCCAATGACTTTTCCACTTATTCAGAGTAAAAGTTAGACTCTTACAAAGATGTGCAAGATCTTTGTGCTTTTGCCCTCTTTACTCACTTGCTTGTGTCTCCTACTCTTTTCCTCTTTGTTCAATCCATTCCAAAGGGTTTCTAGAATAACATGGTATGATCTAGAATTCAGTTTCTAGAATAACATAGTATGATTCTAGAATTCAGTTTCTAGAATACCATGGTATGAGCAATGCCTTGCCTTCACTCCACGCTGTTGTTGCAATGCTCTTCCCCTTAGGAGTCTTTATAGCCAGTTCCCTCACATTTCTCAGTTCTTAACGGCTTCTAAAGTTGTTCCCTGATCACCATATTGCAACCTACTTCCCTGAAATTCTTATGTCCCTTTCCTACTTCACTGTTGTCTTGTAGCTCTGCTTGTTATCTTATATTACGTCTCATTAGTTTAACTTCTGTTATTTTCCCTTCATTAGAAAATGCTCTTTTTCCATCTGCATTTGTTGGAAAACATGTATCATTTTAATGTTAAATCATTTTGATTTGTAGTTTCATTCTGTGGCCATATGGGCTGTTTGTCTTAAATTGATTACTTCATACAAAATTAGAGCAATTTTTTGGATGAGGCAACATCTTTGAAAACATGGATCCAAGGGAACTCCAAGGGGTTTCTTGAAGAAAAAATTTGAAAACTGCTGGACTCAACATCTTCTGATTCTAATATTCTCTCTAATGATGATTCAGGGATTGGATCATTTATAAAAGCAATAACTATCATTTAAGAACACTTCACTCTAAATCTAGTACTGTGCTTAGTGTTTCACATGTTATATTTATTTATTCCTCGCAACACCCATCATAGCTATGTTTCAAGATTAACAGCAATAATTTTACACAAGACCAAATTGAGGTTTAATAAGTAGCTAGTTATTACACAATTGGTAAGTGGTGTTGTCTTTCTCAGAGGATGTAATACTTAACAGTAAGCCACCTTCTTTCATACTTGATGTTAGGTTAGCAGTTGCTGTTGGGCTCCATGGGTCCCCCTCTTTTTGGTTATAACACCTAACCCCAAACCAGTAGGATAATGCTGAGAGATTCACATTTTGTCACTAGTAAGTACTTTATATATGTGAGGTCAATAAATGTTTCCAAGCACTGGCTCAATTGTTTGCTATGTCTCTTATATTTACAGCCAACCTTGAATATGAGTACAGAAGCATTGTGTTATTTCCACTCAGTACCAGAACACTTATCTGCAACTGTCACAGTCACAAACAACAGAGGATCACATGGTGGATCCAGGTGATTTATACCTGTTCAGGGTTCCCAGTGTATTTGATTCCTTAAACACCTCAGGAGTTGATAGTTTTGAAGGTCTCTGAAAAGGCAATTAATAAAAAAAAAAGTGGCTTACTTTATTTTGTTGCTCAGTGCAGAAGAAGGAAATGATTTAAAAATAATGATAATAACTGTTATATATTGGGAATCTATTCTTTGCAAAATGCCCCCCTGGGAATTTTCTTTGTTAAATAATTCTTTGAAGTACGTATTACAGTTCATATTCCAGACAAGAAAATATATCTAGACCAGCATTAACTTGCCCAAAGTAAATTCAGAAGTAAGTGAAATTAGGATTTGAACCCAAGGCAATCTCATTATAGAATTCATGGTTTTTCCCCTACACCAATGGCGCTTTAGAGAAGCATAATCTTTGATTATCAATTTACTTATTACTACATGCCTTTACAAATGGATTTTACTTATCCTGAGTGTCCAGAGAGGTATATTTTGCAAGAAACATATGCATTCTCAGTTCTCGACTCATTACTTAATTTTGAAGTGACAAGAAAATTATCATATTAGCTAATGTGACAACTTTGGTTAATGTGGCAATTTTAACCAAGGTGTCACACTGGCTAAAACAACTTGTCAGCTTTCCCCATAGTAATATTTATTGAGCATGTATTATGTGCCAGATACCCTGCTAAGTGATTTAAGTGTCATCTCATTTAGACTTCAAAATAATCTTGTAATTATGGTTCTTATTTTACAGATGAGTTACCTGAGACATAAAAATGATTGTACATACATTGTTCAAGGGCATAATATTAAAAGTGGCAGAGCCATGATTCAAAACCAGTCTTTCTAATGCTCATCACTTGTCCCAAGAACTGCATATCTTTCTAGAATTACTGTGTTCTAGATACTCTGAAAGGCACTGGGGACAAGAGATAAGACTAAAGCATGGGTTCTAGTCCCAAGGAGGAGGTAGTTTATCGGGAGAAATGAAATTTTTTTGAAAACAGCTACTGCAATAGGTCTTGAGAAAATTTTCATACCAGATGGTGGGAAGCAGGCCAGAGTGGAGACCCTGCTGGGAGTGGCAAGATCAGCATTTTGTGTGCTATGAGAGGTTTTACATAGGAGGAGAAAACATGCCTCTATGCTTGAAAAATGTGTGAGCTCTTTCCCCATTTTTTTTTCTATTAAAAAAAAAGAAGATCTCTGACTCTAGTAACTTTCATTGGCTCACCAAAAACAATTCCTATCAGACTAATCTCACTGCTTTGAGAGGGTTATTTGGTGGAGCAGGAAAATAAGTGTCTGTAGACTTCAGGAAGGCACATGATACACAATAACTTTGTATGTCAAGTTTATCCCTTTTATAGAAAAAAGACATCTGCCCCATGTGGTAGGAAGGCATTCTGGCAAAAGAAACCACAACTTTCAAGGTGCAGAAGCAGTCAGTGGAGTGTAGGGTGGAGGAATGGTTGGAAATTTGTCAGAGCTGCCTGGTGTACCGAGTGTATTGAAGGAAACAATAGGAATGAGGTTAGATGAGATCATGAATAATTTTTTAGGCTATACTCAGAATATTGTTGGAGATGGTATTAATCATGTTATTTTTAAAATTTTCTGTATTTTATGATACTTTAACATCTTGGGGGCCTTACTAATCCTCAAGACTGCTCCTCCTGGAGCCAGCTAATTCTTAGATATAAAAATCAGCATGTCCCAGTGAATGCTTCTGATATGCAAACCAGTCAATCCAAAGCCCATGTGCCCTTCACCTCCTTTATCTTACTCACACATACACAAAGCCAATATTTCTTCTGCCCTAAATCACTCCAGGGCCAGGTACCTCACAACTAGAAACCACCCCTATAGTCCAGAGCATGTGGAAAGTATTCAAATTATTCAATTCAAAACTTGCTCAAACTTACCTACCCTGCCTTGCCCATTCCTCCACACAGAAGCCCCAACAAGGGCTTTGGGCTCTTTTGCCTCCTGACCAAACCTGGTGTTTACCCACGTGGTCTCGCATCATATGGCCCTGTGTGTGTGGGATGGGAGGGAATTATTAGTAATAAACATTTCTACATTTCTTTTAAAGGCAGTTGTCTCCATGTCTGTCACCTACCATACCTAATTAAATCTCAGGTACATATCAAATCAGAGATAATGGCTTATACTTCATCAGTGTTAAATAGCTTGAAACTTCAGGTGGTATGGCAAATAGTGCAGTAGGACTGGGGGGCAACTAGCACTAAACAGATCAATGCATGCACAGCCAGCCTCCATAATGGATGTATAAACACTCCACTCTACCCCTTCTCCAGATCAGAACACTCACCTCTAACACCATAGTTCTATAATGGACTCCTAGACCATAGATCCTGAAAACGTTAATATTGTCACTGAGCTCACCCTCTGTATCAGAAGTGCTTGAAAATTTCATGGCTTAGATCATTCTGGAAAACCTGATTAGGCCACACAGTTATTCACGGAATCAGGTTAGGCTTATTTCCTAATAACAAAATTACTCATAATGAATTGGAGATAGAGAAAGAGGAAAAAGAAGAAATATATGTCCTAAGCAAGGCACTGTACTAGCTACTTTAGACATATCATTTTCACTCTTTATAACAATGATGAGGTAGATAGCTGTTATGGACTAAATTGTGTCCCTCCAAAATTCACATTTTAAGGCTCCCCAGTGTGACTTCATTTGGAGATAGGGTTTTTAGGGGAAAATTGAGTTAAATGAGGTCATAAGATGGGATCCCAATCCTATAGGATTGATGGGCTTGTAAGAAGAGGAAGAGAGAGAAACCTCTTTCTTTCTCTGCCATGTGAGGACACAGTAAAGAGGTGACCATCTGCAGGCCAGCAAGTCATCCTGCCTAGAATTTTTTTCATCCCTTTCAGTTGCTCAAGAATATGTAGCCTTCTCCCTGTGGTCTTCCCCAACCATCCCTGTTAAAATTGTGCCTCCTTTCACACCCTCAGCACCCTCTAGCCTCCTTCCCTGCTTATTATTCTCCAGAGCACTTACTCTTTGGCTCACTGTGTAGTTGACTTATTTATCTTATTTGCTATCTATCCCCATCCACTAGGATGCCAGTTCAAGAAGAGCATGTTTTGTAGTTTGTTTTGTTCACTTATTGTTTTAATTGTATGGTTTTATTTTCCACCCGTTCATTTAACACAAATTGCCCCTTTCACCACAAATAGTAGATGCAGTTAAATCTATCTTTTCACTCTCAGCAGTTTCAGAAGTTGCCATAGAATAATGGTGAGGTATGAAAACGAGGCTTTGTGGTTCCTGTAACATAACAGAATGTAAATGGATGTTGAGTTATTGTGGGACTAAAGACTAAAGCAACATTTCTATGTCACTGGCAATAACTGACTCATACAATTGGCCAAAATTTGCAGCAAACACCTCATTCCCATATTCCAACATTAAAATCAGCTAGTTTCAGAATCTTTTATAAAGATGATTAGATCCCAAGTGTTTATAGTCATGGACTTCCTCATGGTTTTATAGCTTGAGAAAGTGGCAAATAAAGCAATTAAACAGAACGAGGCAATATCAATTAAAAGCTAAACATTTCCAGAGGTTGCATGATACACTAAAAATATGGATGGAGAGAGGAATTGGGACTATATGGAATAAGGACATTAAGCAGCCAAGGGGAGAGCTAACAACAACAACAACAACAAATCCTTGCATGTAGAGAGAATCTCTAACTTCCTCTTCGGCTTCGGAAGAACCCAGCTTACCCTTGGACAAAAGTCTCCCGAAGACTGCACTTAGAGAGTTGCCTCATAAGTGAATAAATTCTCTTTAGCACTTAATTGTATCCCTCCAAATTGTTTTTGTAGTGAAGCCTAAATATTACTACCACAAATAAAGGAATTTGAGAATTGCTCTTATGGAAAATATATACTAAAAG